>NC_000013.11:71741439-71892954 GCF_000001405.40 Homo sapiens
GGGGAAGTATTAAAATGAAAAAGAGATTGGGACATTTTATTAGGGGAAAATCCTACAATCCACTTCTTTATTTTATTTAGTATTGTATTTTTATTTTTCTGTTGAAGACAATAATACATTCCCTCAAAATGCTTGATAAAATTAATGATCCCTCTGATAATATGTCTAAGAGAGATTATTTTTTATGCTAAATTTGAAATGTAATTTAACTCTTATTAACTTATTTAAATCTATAAAATAAACTTATTAAACAGATATAATGGATAAAGATGTAAAATAAATAATTTTTCTTCCCAAATCTTTTTAATTCTATTTGAGTGATTTTTCTCTCATTTTTTAGGCTATTCTGGCACATAAGGACAAAAGAAGCCACTTAGTCAAAGAATGAAACAGAAAATAACCCCATCTTTCAGAATACCTATGTATAATCCCTGAAAACAACACCTACGTATAGTCACTTAAAGCAGAAAAAAAGAGAGATAATACAGACTGATATGGTTCAGCTGTGCCGCCTCCCAAATTTCAACTTGAATTGTATCTCCCACAATTCCCACATGTTGTGGGAAGGATGCAGGGGGAGGTAATTGAATCATGGGGGCCAGTCTTTCCCCTGCTATTCTTAATGACAATGAATAAGTCTCACAGAATCTGATAGGTTTATCAGGGGTTTCCGCTTTTGCTTCTTCCTCTTTTTCTCTTGCCGCTGCCATGTAAAAAGTACCTTTCGCCTCCTGCCATGATTCTGAGGTCTACCCAGGTATGTGGAACTGTAAGTCCAATTAAATCTCTTTTTCTTCCCAGTGTCAGGTATGTCTTTGTCAACAGCATGCAAACAGACTAATACATAGCCCCACAGATTAGTTGGAACCCAAGTTTTTACTGATATGCTATGGAAATTTAATTTGTTACTAATTTTCCTCAGTTAAACTTCTAAATATCAATGGTCGTTACCAGTTTTTTATTCTTCTTGTCCCTCCAAATATCATACTAATGTTGAAATTATAACATGTAAAATGTTCTAACCACTATCAAGCAAAAATTTCATTAGTTAAATATGAGACATTCCTAAAATTTATTCATATTTACTCCATTGGGGAAAAAAAAGGAAGAAAAATGCAAAGAAATGTTTTATTTGTAGTTTTCTCTGCAAAATAGAAGTGTCAATGAAAAATAAAGATATGTTTTACTATTAGTAAAGGGATTTCTGCTGTCTGCAGAATTGCAGCCTCTTCTAAATGTCACCTTGGGAATATTTCAACATCATCTTCTTCATCTTATACATTTTTTTTTTCTAAGACACTGGAAACATTTCAATCTTCCTTTTTACCTCAAGGATTTCCCAAAAGTCAGTTTGCAGAGGGATCAGTATAGACAACTTAAATAAGCAAAATCTGCCTTTATTTTTCTCTTGTTCCTACTCAGCATCTCCTCTCTAAAGATAGTCTAATAATTTTTATTCCATGTGCTATTTCTCTGTAGAAATTTATGAATCTTGTGGTAAAGTTTCTCCCCTAAAGTCACATAACATATGTGAGGGTTAAAACACTGACTTCTTGATTGGACAACTTTTTGAATTAAATAACCATTACTGAAGTCCTGGTATTTACACAGTGATATGATGGACATAGTAGAATGAGTTTCCAATTGCATAGAGACCAAGACATACATATCCAGAAGACAGAAGTTAAGCAAGGCTGTATAATACACTTAACTCACTGCCGAAATTATTGGCAAACTTGTCATGTGAATGCCAAAAGAAGGACAGATCACTAAAGGGAGGAATAATCAGGGAATACATTTTTTGTGAACCCCAAAGCAGAACACACTCTAGATATGTGGAACAGAGTGGGGGGAAAAGCCATGGCAGAAGACCCCAATAAAGTTGATACATGGAAATAGAATCCTAATAGTATATTTGAGAAATAGTGACAAGACTGCATGGTCTGTCTGAAGTCAAGGGTTGCTGTTTCTATACAGCAGAATCAGGACTGCTGATTATTAAAGACAAGGAGCCACACACTTTGCTAAAGGTTTTGCTTTTTCGCACAGTCCCTACAACTCTATGAGGTAGATACATCCTTCCTCAGAGATAAGAAAATGGAGAGGGTTTCAGTATCTTGCTAAAGTCTCTTGAACTGATAAATGGCAAAGGCCAGGAATGAATCTGATTTGGAGAATATCCTATGCCAGGTAAGAGATGTGGGACTTAATTCCTTAGACAATTTGTGTTTCCTAATTGCCTTTAAACAGATTTTATGGCTTTATAAATATTAGTGTTTCAGGAAGATTGATATGAATGTTTGAAAAAAAGTTTTCTAATTTGTTCATGTTAGCAAAAAAGAAAATTATATTTTAAAGGAACTTTTCATGTCTTTTTCAAATAAAATGACTGAATCCCTTTGCAGAAATATTTATTTCCATGTCATCTCAGCTTCTCCTAATTATGTTGAAAGTCGACTGATTTATAGAAAGATTTTTTCAGGTTGATAAAAGCCCCCAACCCTGGAAAGTAAAAACGAAAATATAACAAAGGAACCAAATTACTTTTTTGGTTCTCATGCCCAAACCTCAATACCACAGAGGACAGATAAGGTGTAAATAAGGAAATTTTACTGTCCTGACCTCTGTTGAAGGTGTCATTTTACTAAAAGCATTGCACTTAATAAATTGACTTGGTGCAGTTACAGATACCTCCCTAAATAGTAGAAAAAGCAACAAAGAAAGGTTGAACCATTTGATGATTTGGAAATAATAATCAATGGATAAACTGACTACCTCATAACATATTGTAATTCAGCAATGAAGCAGAAATATAGCTCATGAATTTTAGAAGTTTACAAGAAAAGAAGTACAGTGTCCCAGATAAGGCACTTAGAATTCTCACCATCTTCTGCATTGGTTAGCTTATGCCTGATACGGTTCAAGAAAGACATACACAAACTAGAAAGCAACCAGAGGTAAAATCTGAAAGCTGTAGCTGAGGAAGCACTAAAGGTATGGTGATATCCTGCCTGGAGGACGGTAGAGCCAGAAGTATCTTTCCTATCACAATTCTGAAGAATTGTGATGCAGTAGGGGAATTAGTGTGGCCTATCCACATAGGAACCAGGAACAAACAGACACTTCTTACTTCCACAAGAAGGCAAAAACTCTTACAATTAGTGTAGCCAAACAGTAAGACCATGCTGCTAAGAATATGCAATCACATATTTAACAACTATCCTGGAAGAATATTACACATGGGTGCCCACTTTGGTTGGGATTTAAACATTTCTATGAAAACTATAAATCAAATTTCATATGATTTTATGAGAATCCATACAAAAAGGAAAGGAACTTCTATAATTGTTTTAAATTCATGAAACATCATAGGTTAAAAGTGTATATATGCTTTAGCAAACTCTAGAATTTTTCTTTAACCTTCTACCAGTTTTGTCTTGGGAGTCAAACATGAATTCTACATAAGCAACCCAGCAAGGTTTGGTTGAAAAGAATACTAGATTTAGAATCAGAAGTTTTGTGGATTTTTATTTATTCTTTTACCTTTTGCAAATTCATATCTCGGAATATTGTTTCTCATATATAAAGTGGCAATAATATCATCTGCCTTACAGATTGCTGTGAAAATCAAATGAAACCACATTTATACAATCAGGTTGTAGACTATGTGACACTGAATATTATAAAGGGTTGTTTTCATTCCTTTTTTTTGTTTCAAAATAAGTCTCTCTGTCTACTATTTCTTTCCACAAATCTCTTAGTTATTAAAGAACTCATCTGTCCCCACTTTAGTTTTCCCCTTCTTTTCTTTTAAAGTTCTACTACAGGTTCATTATCATGAGAACATATGTAATAGGCACACAAATACCTTTGAAAAATGGATGCTCTGCAGTAATGGCATCTCCAAAAGATAATTATCATCCAAACTTTAGTATGCATGTCAGATATGACCTCACAGTATCAAAGGGAAGAAAAGCAATAATTTCTTGCTACTTGGTGAATATGCAAATTGCATTATACTATCATAATATATAAATTCTAATGGATGTCTAAATTGCAATGGCATGGCACAGAAGGCTAGATGAAACATAGCTTCACAGATTTCAGGTTTCCACCAACTAAGCTGTATCATCAAAACGTGACATCGAGATTAAGAAATAATTCAATGTGAATCTTCCTGGAGAAACAGTCACCAAACAAGAACATCATGTAACTGCTTTGTATAACTGTGCAATTCTGCCCAAAAGACAATGTTACAAAGTGAGTGGTGCTTTACATTTCACCAACTGGAGTAAGACTACACTGAGAACTGCCATTATGCAAACAAAACGGTGTACTCAATCCCAATAAAACTGCAGGGCTTTTGCAGGGAAAATACCTAGAGGGGTTACCATGTTCCACCACTACACCTCAAAACATTAGAGTTATCTATACTTACTAAGAGATAAGACAATATTTTTTAAAAGTAATTGTTACATCATAATAAACAACATAATGCGGCCGGGCGCGGTGACCCAAGCCTGTAATCCCAGCACTTTCGGAGGCCAACGCGGGTGGATCACGAGGTCAAGAGATCGAGACCATCCTGGCCAACATGGTGAAAACCCCTCTCTACTAAAAATACAAAAATTAGCTGGGCGTGGTGGCACACGCCTGTAACCCCAGCTACTTGGGAGGCTGAGACAGAAGAATCACTTGAACCCGGGAGGCAGAGGTTGCGCTGAGCCGAGATTGCGCCACTGCACTCCAGCCTGATGACAGAGCAAGACCCTGTTTCAAATAAAATAAAATAAAATAATAAACAACATCATGTACAAGAAAGATTCTTCCAAAATATACATGAATGAAGAGGAAACCCATAGATAGGAATGGAAGAAAATGTTGAAATTAAACTCTTCCCTTTATAGATGACAAAGTGGAAGCTTAGAGTTTAAGAATACAAAAATCAATCACATTTGGAGTTCAGATTTGGTCACTGATGAAAAGTAAACTCACTTAACTGCAATATGTTTTTTAAATGTGGCACTAAAAAAGGCATAATGATTTTAATAAGATGAAATCAACTACAAAAATTCCCAGGTCACTGGAAATTCCTTACCACTAAAGTCCTGTTTGGAATCCTCTTATACCCCCAGAGCACCAGCAACCTATTCTTTGCTGTGCTCAGTGTTAGCATCTCTGATAAAAGAAATGGTATAAACAAACAAACAAACAAACAAACAAAAAACCTCCACAGTATCTGCAGGCTACCTGTGTTATCTAATCAAGCTTATGAGCTACTGGTGCCAGCCTTCACTGGTTGCTCATGTAAGGTTAGAGAAGTTTCTGGGTTCCTTCCCAGAAGTGGCTAGGACTTCTCTAATGTCTTCACTAAGTATAAGTCAAAGCTATGTCGACTTAGTGAATGTATTTATTTTAATATATTTTAAGATATACTAAAAATACAATGTGGTAAATATTTCCTGCCAAAAATATTCAGCTTGATAGAGTACACATTTCTGTATTAACACATATGTATATGTATTAACACAATATCTAACACATAATCTTGTAGTAACACATATGTATTAACACATATGTATATGTACTGACACATAATAGCTATATCTATCAACTATTTTTGCATTTATGTATTTAAATATTGTGTTTGTATATACAAATAGTTGTATGATATATAATATCTATTTTCTGCAAAGGAACGGTAATTTTTATAGGAAAAATTACCTACAATTCAAAATTGTTCACAATGATGAGAGTTAATACTAGATCATGTAATGTAGTCCACACACTGTAATGTAATGTAGTCCACACACTGTACAGAATTAATAAGAAAAAATAATTAAAATCAGTCATCCCAGGCCTGGCGTCGTGGCTCATGCCTGTAATCCTGGCACTTTGGGAGGCCAAGGCAGGCGGATCACTTGAGGTCAGAAGTTCAAGACCAGCCTGGCCAACACGGTGAAGCCCTGTCTCTACTAAAAAAATTAAAAAATTAGCTGGGTGAGGTGGTGCATTTCTGTAGTCCCAGCTACTAGGAAGGCTGAGGCAGGAAAATTGTTTGAACCTAGGAGGCGGAGGTTGCAGTGAGCAGAGATCGCACCATTGCACTCCAGCCTGGGTGACAGAGTGAGACTCCATCCCCCTGCCAGAAAAAAGAAAATCAGGCATCCCAGCTAAAAATGCATTCATGTCATGCCCAGGCTGGCTTCCATACAAGGATGCTCTAGGAGATTCTGTGAGTTTCCTCACTACATGTTTGTTTTAGATAAATTTGGGAGCTACATTTACCTTGAGAGTGTCTCTACTGGGTCCATGGGAGGAAGCAAGGAAATCTGAGTTCTGCCATCCTAGCCTCCTTTCTCTGGGAATTTTTAATGAATTGTGTCCTAATGGGTCCCTGTATAGCACTGTAGCAGCTTTCTCAGGACCGATAGGTAGGACTTTGGAGACCACCCTGGTCCATTCTCACATTCCTGAGGTGCAGGAAGGTCTTGCCCAGTTTGTGCATGAACTTGACAGGCAAATAAACCATCTAATCTGGTGAAAAGCAAAAAGCAATATGGAGAGACCTTTGGGGGACAGCATGTTGACTTCCAACTATAAAAAGATTAAGTACAGTTAGAATACTTTTCCCATCCAAAGTAACCTTCAAATTTATTACTTACTGGCCAGCTTTACAAATGTATTCACACAGATTAACACGTTGTGAACATGCTCTGTTAATATTGGGATCTGAAAAAAAAAAAAGGAGCAAGCTCCAAACAATGTTGAGGGGGGGAAAGCAAAGTGAAGCAGGGTAACATTGTCTCTGCTCAGCAAAAAGTGGTAGGGGACATTATCTAAGATAAATAAAGTAACATGGAATACAACTTTGAGACCATACACTTCAGTTCATAAGGCCAAAACTGATCACAGTGAGTGGCAGCTAAAGAGATCTTAGAGATAAAAAAGTGCTTGGAAATCATTTTACAGATGGAATAAAACAAGCTCAAGCCCTTAGTTTTTAAAAAGAGAAATCAATTTAAGGGAACCCAGTGGAGGGTCTGCTTGCTTCGCTAGAATGATATTCCTGTTGCTTATTTTCCATCATCCCCAGAACATCCTTTGCCCTTGAGCTCACTCTGGGGGCACCATTGAATAAAGGTCAACAGGTCCCTCTTTGTCTACTACTATAGCAATCCTCATTCCCAGGGCCTTGAGGTGTCTGCCCTGTATAAGCTAACTGGAAGTCTGCTTTTCATGTTTTCAAAGAACAATGCCTATTTGTTAGCTCAGAAAATAATGTAAGGATTTCAAAAACAAAAACATATGGGACATTTTCTTAACTAATATATCATCTTTCATAACATGATTAGATTTTACTAATTTTTCTCTATGTTACCTGAAATATAAAAAATATTTTTTCTCTTTCTTTCTTTCTTTCTTTCTTTCTTTCTTTCTTTCTTTCTTTCTTTCTTTCTCTTTCTTTCTTTCTTTCTTTCTTTCTTTCTTTCTTTCTTTCTTTCTTTCTTTCTCTCTTTCTTTCTCTCTCTCTCTTTCTTCTTTCCTTTTATTTCTTTCTTTCAGATGGAATCTCACTCTGTCACCCAGGCTGGAATACAGTGGCATGATCTCAGCTCACTGCCACCTCTGCCTTCTGGGTTCAAGCGATTCTTGGGCCTTAGCCTCCTGAGTCACTGGGATTACAGGTGCCTGCCACCATGCCCAGCTAATTTTGTATTTTCAGTAGAGATGGGGTTTCAGCATGTTGGCCAGGCTGGTCTCGAACTCCTCATCTCAAGTGATCCACCGCCTCGGCCTCCCAAAGTGCTGGGATTACAGACTTGAGCCACTTTGCCTGGCCCTATTTTCTATATTTTTCTGTTCACCAATCCAAAATCCAAGCACTTTGTGTGTAAATTATGAAGATTTTAATTTGCCTAAAAATATCCAATGACTAATTTCTATTTAATGTATAATTTGAGAACACACTAGATTTTTTTTGAGGGGGGGGCATTTGTTAAGAAAAAGTTGAACAAATCAGATAAAACCTGGGCTGATACACCAAATGAATGATGGATAATGCCGCAAATCCCAGCTCTTAGCACAGTGCTTGGCACAGAGTCAGTACTCAGTAAACATAATTATTATTACTAATATTTTGACAAATTTACCTTTTTCAGCCTCTTTCAAATGAGAAAATTACAGGCATTCCCTTAAGTGCACAATTAAGGAATCATCCCTCAGATTTAAAACATGATGCACTAAAGAAATGTTAATATTGTAGAGAGGAACAACACTTGGGAAACTGTTAGTCGTTTATACCATTCTGTGAACCCGACTAAGGAACACGAGTTCCGTAACCGTCATCTCCAAGCTTCACAACAACTCCATGCTATAGGCATTATTGTCTCCATTTTGAAAACAAGCATCATGAGGGTGAGAGGTAAGAGCTAGATAAGCGGAGAGCTGAGGATCCGGAGAGGAATGATTGAAGAAAGGGACCACCAGTTGTGAAAGCCAAGTTAAAGACAAAAATAAACAAACACTTGTCTTTATCTCAAACTTTTATGCTTTCAAGCAACTATTTATGGAAGCACCTACTATGTGCCAGGTACTCTGTTGGGAATAAATATCATACAGAGTTCAAAAATTCTGTCACATTCACTCTTAACAGCTTGCTTTCTCTCATGCTCTTTCTCCGCCTGGAACATCCTCCTTTCCCCTGCTTCTCCTCCCCACTCCACTATACCGATGTTTAGAGTCTATACTTTAACATCATCTCCTCTAGAAAACTTTCCCTGAAATACCTGAGCTTCTTGAAATACACTCTCTTTGCATGCCAGTAGCAACCACTTACCCTACCATGCAATAATTGCTTTTTTTGAATTGTTCCCTAATCCTTGGACTAAGAAACTGTACCTTACACTGCCGCAAAAATGCCACATCTGTGTTTATTTAATTAATAAATTCACATAGCAAATGAATGAATGACAACAGAATTAAGGGTCTAACAAAAAGAATGAGAAAAGTTAGCATTTCAAGTAAATGTACCCTTTAATAACAATCTAATGTATGATTTCATTTAATATGTGTCTTAGCTAGAGTATATTATAAGAATAATTGTTTAATATTGCTTTAAAGTGCAAATTGTTTCTTTAGAATTCAATAAATAAATGCTGAACTAGGAAATGAAAGTGTTGTTTAATTTAATTGTCCTCACTACCATGCATGGCTTTTTGATATTTTTAGTTATTAGCAAAATAGAAATTGACTTTAAAACCAAGAATAAAAGAAATATCATGAATAAATGTTATCTAATATTTCTACACTGCTTACTTTTAATGATTCAATCATTACAATAAGAAAACAGCAATATGTAGTTCACATAATTAGCTCTTGTAATAATTAGGGGAAGGGGTGGGAGCCATCAATGAAACACACACATTGTTGTCCAAGTTAAACCAGAAATTCTTGATGACTAACATTAATTGAGAAAAGATGGCTAAAAAAAATAAATCCTATGTGAAACATTAAACAAAGTTATCTGATGTTTATGTTTTTCTCCTTTAATAATTAATGGAATGTAAATAGTCAGGAGAGGCTTCAGTTTTGCATTGTAACTAACCAGCATTATAAATGGCAGTCAGATGTTTACATAATACCCAGAACCCTTCTGTATGGAAGGAGGTTACAAATCTGCCCCTTTTCCCTGTTCAAAGTCAAAAATAATGGTGCCTGATCCCCAGAGCATTCACTGCAAG
Organism: Homo sapiens; assembly: GCF_000001405.40. Taxonomy (NCBI): domain Eukaryota; kingdom Metazoa; phylum Chordata; class Mammalia; order Primates; family Hominidae; genus Homo; species Homo sapiens. The sequence goes on from NC_000013.11 coordinate 71,751,183, forward strand.
AACTGTTTGCATATTCAGTTATTGTTTCTGCTGCGTCAGTCATCTGTTGAAGTTCACTCTAATGTGGCCCTGATCAATTCTGCCAGCTGTGCTTAAGTGCTGTTTACTATAATAACATCACACTGCATTCTTATTTGGCAACAACAGCTATGACAGCACCTAAATGCATTGAGAAGCCAAGATTTTTATCATGTACACAGATCAAATTGAAACTGTTTACAGAGGACAGTGATGTTCTATTTCTGTCCATTCTAGTGAATACCAAGAGCACAATAATGGCTTTGCAAAATTCTGCCCTGTCTAATAATTGAAGATATTGTTGATCTAAATTCTTAATGGGATACAGAAATTATTTTATAATTACATCTTACATGTTGATTCACCAGAAATAAACCCTCACCTCTAGCATGTCCTGATGTAAGATGTAGTATGAGTAAACTATCTAAAATGAAAATACATTCTGAAAAATATCTAGCAGGAGTAAGAGTAAATATGAAAGTAAAAAGTAAAAAACTAACAATTTTAAATAATAGAAAAATATGTCAACAAAATATTAGATTGTATGGTTTTCTCACCTCTTAAAATAATATGCTTCATCTCATATTAAGCAATAATGCAAACTAAGCCAAATATGTCACTGAAATGAGAACTTAGTATTTCTACAAAAACTTATACACTCCTTGTGATCAATATTTGTTACTGCTTTGCTACTTATTTAAAAACTTTTATGTGTGAATTCTACTATTATGTATCACCCAATTTATGGCATTGTTTATTGAAATTTTAAAAAATCTCTCTTGATTCTGTGAGTCCCTTAGTATTTCCTTTATAGTAAGTGTGATATAAACAAAAATACTGACTAATGAAAGAATAGAAAAGTCACTGAAATGCCATCCTCTCAGAGGTTTTAATCCTCCTGAAGCAACAGCAAATAAGTGGACATTTTTAAGATTAGCATAGAAAACATACGGATAACTCAATATAAATGCATGTCATAGCTCATAAATGCTCTGAAAGCTCCTTCTGAGCTATTACAGTGCATGCTGTGAATGTGTATTAACAATAGTGCACAATCGTACATTAAATACATCATATATTTGCATATTTAGTTCTATTCAACTGTTGATTTTAAAAATATACTTTCTCCAAAGAACTATAGTCTTGGTTTCTAGTAGCCATAATTTTTCCATTAGTGTCTATCAAAATAGTAACCTAGTTTGATATTATTCAACTTTTAAAATTGCATTTAAATTCCTACAAACCAGGAAATTCTCTCTCTTTCTCTCTCTGTCTGTCTCTCTTCCTTTCTCTCTCTCTCTCTCTCTCTCTCTGTTGCTCAGTTACTTAGCTATAGCTGAAATTATTATTACTTGGAATTTCAGGAACTCATCTTTCTAAAGATTAACAACACTTTATACACTTTAACACTCTTTAGTAGATAATAATTATTTCCCCCAAACAAAATCTGTCATTTCTGATTTTTTAAGAAAACATGACATTCTACTAAAATCATCAGGTTGCCAGCAAGAATCCAAAACAAAAATAATTCATTCAAACTCCTTAATCTAGTCATTGAAGATTGACAGTATCTTTTTATATTTTGAAAGCTCTTTTAACATTAACTGATATTTTAGTGTGTGAAGAAACTAAAGCTTTCTACATATAAAAGTTCATCTTTTGCCTTCTCACCACCGTCAGATAAAAGCATAAGGGACTTGAAGTCACAGTTCAGATATACTAGTCCCACAGAAATAAGCCCAATACATCAGCATCAGGACAGGCAGCAGGTGTGAGCAGTGACTAGAAAAGAGCAATGATACACAAGGAAAGCAAGCCAGAGAAGAGTTAAACCTAACCTATTAATACCACTATGCATGGGATAATAGAAAGGCCCTCTTGTTACTAAAGGTGAAGCTATCCTGGCTAGAAAAATAAGCGAACCACTGCAAATATTGTAGTGACTGTCCTGTGAATGGATTGCCACACCAAATGACAGAACTCTCTCAATTCCACTTTCCAATAACTTCAAGGCACTAGGGATGTGACAGCATGATGAATACCACAACAGACAGCTCCAATATGGTACCATTTTACCAGATCAATATCTCGCTGCAATATAAGAAAAAAGGAGCTGATATTAGTCTACACAGTGTATTACAGATGAGGTACATTTCTTCTTACTGCACTCCTGCTGAACCAAAGCAATAATTCACAGATTCCTTAAAAGGTTCGTGCACCATCACATGCAAAAAAAGGCTAATCCTTATTTTAACATCTGCTTGAAGATGTAATCACTTAAAGAAGTATGCAAGTTTTTTAAATGCCTTTTTCATTTATCGCTTACCAAGATATATAAATAACGAAGTTAGTATATCCAGGTCTGAAAAAGTACAAACATTCATAGATTGCCTTGCTGACACTGTTCCAGTAATAGTATGAAGAAAATTGCCCTCAATATTTCACTACCAGCCTACCTAACTTGCTTCGCAAGTGGAAGAGCACTTTAGAACTTTCCACATTTTGAGTGTGTGAAATATAATCAATTCTCAATTATCTGCAATGGTTTATTCTTTTTTGGATTATTCCATATTTCCTTTTTAAAACCAAAGTCACTGTGATCAGCTACCCCTAAAGCTGCCAAGAGCTGTAAACTACTATACAAGAAATATTAGTTGCCATGTGTACAAATCATACAAAAGTAATATAGAGTAATTCTCATGCCATAGTCAAAGTATAAATGACCAAATGTTTTATTGTTTCAAAATATTTTAATTGGTTCAGGCCACAGATGCAAAGAGAAACCAAAATAACATACTAAATCAGAAGCAGCTTAATTCTGACTTAATGTGACTCATGATTATCTTTTTTAATGTACTCTATACATCATCCACTGGAGTATTACTTTTATTTTCCTCCATTTTCTCTTTTTTTCATATCCTGTTTCAGCAAAATAAATATGTATTTCCTCAAGCAAAGTTCCAGACTGTTCTATTAGTGCTTTAAAATGGAGGAATTCACAGCTGGCTCACCTGGTTAGTGCTTCCTCTCTGATCGTGCCCATTTCCCTTCTGGCATCGCCCATGGCTCTGGATATAGATACTCCCAATTAATATCTCTAAAAATATGAGATATGCTTCCTGGCTCCTGTCCAACTACAAATAATAATTTACCTTTCCTTGCCCCCTTTCATGCTATGCAATCAAGTATCTGTACTATGGTATGTACAGTCTTTAGAAGATATGGGAGTTGATACTTTGCAAGGGGATGATGACTCTCAGTATTTTCCTAGCTGCTGCCAACCTGAACTATGAAGTAGGTCAGCACTAAGAGTTTTGTTTTACAGATGAGGAAAATGAGGTTTATGGAGGTTAAATGGCTTAGCCCGTTGACCCAACAGCTGTCAGACTTTAGTAACCATTCTCTGGGCCAGTGATTTCCAGCCCAGATTTTGTAATACCCCAGGGTGTCTCACATTTCCTAAAGTATTTCATGAAATTCTCAAAAAATATTCCATTAAAGATAAATGTAGGCCAAATTATATCTTTTAGACATAACCAGGAAAAAAAAAAAGGCACAAATATATCGCACAACTCTGCAAAACGTAAAAAACGCCACTATCTGGTGATTCACTGCATTGCAGGAGAGTCTAATAAAAAACAAAGAGGTAGAATAATAAGGCAAGTATGTTATGAATTGTTAAATATCATTTCTTCCTTGGGTCACATCGCTTTTAATATCATTCTGTTTTTATCCAGGAGATGGGCAAAAAGACCGGGGCCGGGGGGAAATCATCATAAACTACTTTATCTCTTCATCTTCTCTTTGAAAATTAACAAGAAAAATCATTAACTTTGTCTATGAGTTTTATTTTATCATGTTCAGGGTAGATTCTACATACTAAGATGTTGCCTGGAAACACTCCACTTGGCTAATACTGAATAGCAGTGTTCAACAGAGTTGCCGATATCTCCCCACCTTTAGTAGCTTTAATTTTTTATAGCAGACCTCAATCAAGTATAGCAAAACAAGAAAAATCTGTTTATGAGAATTTTATTAATATATCACACATGAGTTGAGGAAAAAAAGATATTTTGGATATTAAAGCTGCAATACAAGGCTGTTATACAGGTAGCTATTTAAACATGGACCCCAATCAGAAAAACAATGGTGATGAAAAGCTATTTTCACAGAACTCTCTTTCAAGTTTAAATTGTGACATCAGTGGGCCAGACGAAACTGGTGTTAATTTTATTGCTCTGACCAAAGCTAGTTAAATCTCTTCTTTCTGCAGTCAATGTCCCAAGGTCCCAAGATTATTGTTAGAGCTAGGAAGTCTTAAGTTAGGTCTAATTTGTCTTGTTTTGCAAATGGCACCCCTGAAATTCAGACAGTTCCAGGGCTACTAAGTAGCAGAACCTAGTCTGAAAGGTATGTATCCTAACTTTTAATTCAGTACATTAAGAGGAAATGATGTAGCTATCAATTTCTTCACATAGATCTTTAAGAACATGGGATACTACTTTCCCCAAATTACTATCTAAGAATAGAGACAGACTTGTATAATGTCTTCAAACTAAATCAAGTCTGTCCCTTGCCTACTCTCTTCCTTTCACATGAATTCTAAAAGTATTTCTTTTAATCACAGCATTAGCAACAAATATATGGAAACCATTACTTTTAAACTTATGATACTATACCAAAATAATAGAGAATATTCATCATAGACCATTAATTTATTGGCTGAGACGGTATGGAAAAAATACTAAAAAATGTTAAATATTAAAGTAATGGCTAGAAAATTTAAATTATTTAAATTTAAAGACTAAAATGCGTAAACTAAAGACTTTTTTATTTTTTTTTTCTTTTAAGACGAAGTCTCACTCTGTCGCCCAGACAGGAGTGCGGTAGCCCGATCTCGGCTCACTGCAATCTCTGCCTCCCAGTTTCGAGCAATTCTCCTGCCTCAGTCTCCCGAGTACCTGGGACTACAGGCACATGCCACCACACTCGGCTAATTTTTTTTTCTTTTTTTTTGTATTTTTAGTAGAGACAGGTTCTCACAGTGTTAGCCAGGATGGTCTTGATCTCCTGACCTCGTGATCTGCCCGCCTTGGCCTCCCAAAGTGCTGGGATTACCTAAGTGTGAGCCACCGCACCCGGCCAAGACATTTAAAAGTATACTTAGACCCCATCTACCAGGAATTCATTTTTATTTCCTAGAAATCCAGGGTTCAGAGAATTGAACATCCACCCTCATTTATCCTTTTAAAACTTATAATTCAACATTCTCAGAATATTGAAAGGACTTATATTATGGTTTAGGGTTTGTTTTCAAAACAATGAAAAAAAAAAACATTTTATTTTAAAAGATACTGTGTTGAGTGGCAGCTATGTCCTGGACACTGTATTGGCAATCACAGAAATAAAGGTCAAGATAGATAGGGCAGGATTCCTCTAACTGGATGAACTCACAGTCTAATGAGGAAGACTGATATAAAATGGTATAATTATAATACAAAACAATCATCTTTAGAGTAGAAATATAAATTCAGATTTTTAGAAGCAAAATATATTTAATAGCAAAATTTGAAATCCACTCAATTTTCTAAAGGAAAAATCATAACTCTCAGTATATATAGAAAGTTTGCTTTAAATCAAGCAGAATTGAATATCTGATTATCATAGAGACGTCAAATTGGGATATATGCTTGCCTGGATGTTGTTCACTTGTGAGAATGACATAGTGAATGTAAAGGATCAGGAGAAACGATGGCTCACGTAACAAATTTGTAACAAAAAACTCATATACTGTGACTGTTTGATTTTTGTTAAGTACAATTCAATGCATAAAACATGAGAAATATGTATTAAAAGTCCTAATAAAAATGTAACACACGTTTGAAGATTTTTGAAAGGGCTTATTATTGACATAAAGCAAAAATAGTTTATTTAGCTTGAATAATTAATATTATGCCTCAGTAACTCATAATAAACATGCATTCAATTAAATGTTAAAATATCACTTAAATCAATACATAGTAATTCAAGACTTGGGATCAAAAGAAAAATTAAGAAAAACTGTTTTAATACCCTAAATGCCATAAGCACTAGAACACAAGCAATATAAGGAAATAACTTGATTTTTTTAAAGGCATTTTCTTTGGAGCTTTAGTAAAATAAACGGACCAGTGGCCAAATGGCTCTGTAGAGTCTTTGTTGTCTAACCTGAACAAATCACTTAACCTCTGTAGGGACCATTTTTCCTAATCACAGAAATGGGTGTAATAATGCCAATCTCACCAGTCTGTTGTTGAAAAGCCAAGAGAATTTTTAAAGGTACTTTTTTTTTTTTTTTTTTTGAGACAGAGTCTTGCTCTGTCGCCCAGGCTGGAGTACAATGGTGCAATCTTGGCTCACTGTAATCTCTGCCTCCCAGGTTCAAGCGATGCTCCAGCCTCAACCTCCTGAGTAGCTGGGATTACAGGCACCCGCCATTATGCCCAGCTAATTTTTGTATTTTTGTAGAGATGGGGCTTCACCATGTTGGCCAGGCTGATCTTGATCTCCTGACCTCAGGTGATCTGCCCACCTCGGCCTCCCAACGTGCTGGGATTACAGGTGTGAGCCACCACGCCTGGCCTTAAAGGTACTTTGAAAGTAGCAATCCAGTTGTTGATAATCACAATGGCATTTCTGTATTATCATGCTTTTCAGGGTTGAATCACTGAAGTGCCTTTAGGAAGATGCAATATCAAGATTTTTTAAATTATGGACTTAATTTACAAAATATACATAAACATAATTACAAACCTCTCTATGATTAAAAGAAAAATGATGAATATTGTATTCAGAACCAATATGATAATTTCAAATATTTTTAAATTGACCACCGAAGACTTGATTACCTGACAACAATATAGAGATTTAGGGCTGTGAACACAGTCTCTCCATGGCCATTGCTCAAAGTTCATTAAGCACCGTTTAAGGTGATGGGTAACATTTGTCCAGAGAAATTGTCAGGATTTTTTTAGAGACAAATAAATCCTCAGTGGGTGTCAGTTGTGATGTGTGCATTTAAAACAGATTGACAGAGCAGAAATAGATTTTTATGTAAAAGACTGACAAAATTAACATGTTTAAGCTACTGATCCTATAAAAAGAGATCCCTGGAAAACACCTCTGTAGGTGTCTAAAGAAATACAGGGAGTGAGAACCTGGAAACAAAACAAGTTTTATTCAAAGTAAATAAATGTTTTATACATATAAAAGGTCTTCAATGTGATCAAGAAAAGTGTAAGTTCAAGTGATGACAGATTGCTAAGAAATGCAGTGCGACAGCTAGCAAGGCATCCAGATCCTCAAATATTTTTTTATGGAGGAATACTCTAAAATGTGCCTATATAATTATTTAAGAATAGCTTGAAATACCTTGAAACGCACCACTTAATCAAAATACAGCATCTCCTTTCCCTGAGGATGATACATCTGAACACAAATATGTATCTAAATGCTTAATGGGTCTGCCGAAGGAAGTTAACAACAAATAAATGAAAACAAGTACATATAAATATCCGGTATATTAAAAGATGACTGAGTGGCATATAATTTCTACGGGTAATTCCATGCCCATGTTGAAGTTTAAATTAGTACACTGTTAAGGCCTGCTTTGAAGAAAGTTATTATGTACCTTTTAGACTGCAAACCAGTAAACTCCCCCTCCCTCGCATTATGTTGTTGCCAGTCTTTGTCTTTTTTTTTTTTTCCTGTGGTCCTGTTTAAATTCTCACCTTGCTCTGCCCTTGTCATCAAGTCGTTCAAGCACAAAGCAGGGAGCATGGGGAGTGTTTACTCATTTCCCAAGTCCATTATCTTACACATTAATCACTGGTCTGGAACTTTTGGACAATGCTGAATCTGTTACCTTTTTTTCCCCTTTCTGGCTGCTTTTACTTGAGAGTCTGACAGTTCACCAGTTTTAAGCTGCACTAAGACTTGATGACCTTTTCATCTGATTAACTATTTTTGTCCCTAAAAAAAAAAGATAGGCATTTATAGTCCAGTGAAACCATCATGACCTTAAATGTGGAAGATGAAGCCTTTATTTTTTCTTCATGGAAAGACAGCCTAAGGGAGCTAAATATTTTAAATATTGGTTTATAAAAGAGTGCCTTTTTTGGGATTAAGTTCATTCCCCCCAACCCCCACGCTGCCCTCACTATTATTAAGTGTCATTTTCAAAACAAAACATTAGTGAGAAATTCCAGTTAACTTTGGAAAGCAAATATTTTTAAATATTAAAGTAAACAATTTTTAACTCTAATATCTTCATGGTTCTTGCATAATATGAAGGACTGTTCTGGGAATTTAAAGTTTAGCTTCAATAATGATTACTAAACCAAGAGAAATAGATGTAAAAAAGCAGGACAGCTGGAGGCTCTTGAACTATAGTTGTCAAAAGATTTGTTTGTGAAACATGCATTTTATTGCCTTGTATGCATGTTATAATGAGGCATGGACAACTGCAACATTACACTTAATGACTGCATTTCTTGTTTCAGCCAGTTTCCTTGTCCTCTTGCAATTAACGTTTTCCCAGATCACCCAAGGCTACTTTGTCAGGGAGAAAAAAAAAATCTGAAATTCACATAAATGAGCAATGTCAATAGTTTAGAAAGAGTTTACTTAGAGAACAAAGGGCCCTTATGAGGCACTAGTGAGAAGAAATGGGGAAAAAATGAGTCCTCACAATGTAAGCCTTTTCTTAAAGCGACTTGTTATCAAGCAGTTCAGGATAGTCCCTCAAATCTGCATTAAAATGCATTTCATTCCATTGACTCATTTGCATTAATTTCTCCCATTATATCTGAAAATGGCTGAATGTCTACCCAACACAATGCCACAGCCTATCACAGGCTACCACGGCGGCCCCAGGTGCCAATTTACTCCTCTTAGTTCTTTTCATTCTGTTTGCTGATTCTGACAACTGGAGTTCTCCTCTCAGTCCAAGGGACTTTTCAATTGGATTTGCTCGTGGTGACAAAATTGTTGCTTTGCTGAGAGGAGGGGGTTCTTTGATTGAGCGTCTATCATGCTGCCATGGGAAAGCGAGAGGCGAATGATTCTCAGTGGCTTCTGATTTCCAGTATTTGTTCAGCATTAGGCCCACTTATCTCCAGAAGAAAAAGCAACATGTAGAAAGAAAGTGACAGGCAGAAACACACTCACTTGCTCGTTCATTCTCACTGCGCTCTGTATTCAAACAAGGGGGACCTATTACACTGAAAGCTCCAGATCAGCCTCACTCAATTATCACAGTTAATCCTTATAGCTCTATAAAGTAAATATTTCATTACAATTTCAAATAAACAGTCACCCAATCTAATGAAGCAAGAACTCAAAGTGGCAATGTCATAGAACTCGTTACCGTCATCAAAGGAAAGGACACAGCCTTGTCTACTAATAATGAAAAAATAGATACTGGCATATTTATGAACTCAAGGGTGTTGTAGTGGTGAGGATTTCTTTTTCAGTGCCATTGGCCAATTTATCTTTCCAAATACAATTCAGTTATCAAAATTCTATGTGTCTTTTTTCTCTCTCTCTTTATTTCTCTTGGTTTTTCACCCCAATCTCTTCATGGGGATCATCATCTTCACTACCCATCATCCACACACTTAGCACATTCCACTATAACTTTTCTTTTTCATAAACATCAGAGAATTTTGATATGGCATTTTGAATTCAGGAAATTTACAGAATATAAAGTGATCATTTTCATAATCCATTGTCTCTATCACCAATGTTATCTTAAATCCTTCATCTTGTATGTCCTTATATCCTCTATCTACTACTCTTTTACTCCGGGGCAAGAACATCTAAAAATAACTCTCATTTCACCAAATTTTAATAATTTGAAAAAAAAAAGCTTGAATTGAATAAAGATAAGTAGATTAAGTCCTTAATCAAATGTTGAATTACCTCTATGCTATTCTAACTCTCATTTTAATCCTAATCTTTAGTCTCTCAGGAAATCGTTTTTCTTAAATTATTACTTTATCCTTCTTATTAAATATCCCGGTAGTAGTCATTATATTTTCACACTTTGTAATTCACTCTATAGGGCAGAGGGTACAATGTGTATAATAGCACCATTTTGCTTGTACTTATAAGCGCTGACTCAAAAGGGAGTCCATGTTATGCAATAAGACAAAATTTCCTATAGGTAGATTGTAACTATAAACTTCTTCTCTTTTCCTCTCAATTTTACAATACTATATTCTCCTGTCCTAAAATCATCGTCAAGTAGGAAGCGAGATGAATTGTTTTAGTGAGGAATATTTGCATTTTTCCCTTTCTTATGGGATTCTTAAATACTTACTAGCCTTTAAAAATATCACCTGAAACACAGACTTCTCAAACATCAATGTGCGTACACATCATCTGGGGTTGGGCAGGCAGGGAAGCTTGTTAAATGCAGGTTTTGATCCAGTAGGTCTGGAATGGGGCCTGGATGCTAACATTTTTAAGTCACTGGTGATGCTGATTCTGCCGGTCCTGGAGCCATACTTTGATAAGCAAGGACTTAAACTATTGATGGTGTTTATAATTTGTATAATAAAATCAGGAGTAGGGGATCCTTATATTACTATCAAGATAAAGCCATATGTGATATTGTCAACACTATTTTATTAATTTCATTAATAAATATATCTAAAACATGGGTGATTTAATAGATAATATTTATATTAATAAACTATCAAAAATGTGGATGATTTAACTAGGAGTGTTACTAGCAATACTGATAATAATATTGATAATTGAGTGCCTGCTATGTATACTTAATTATTAACTAATTTTTTTCCTCACTACAACCTCAAAGTCTGTATTGTTATGTTAATTGTATTAATTATACAGACCAGAAAACTAAGACTCGGTGAGGTAAAATAACTGGTCCAAGGTAGGGGCTGGAACTTGAGTCAAGTATTGTATACAAATGCACTATCAGTTCAGTATCACTTAAATCGACTTACTCCCCCATGCCAAGCCCATATCGCTGGATCACAGTCTATGACATTCATTCACCCAATATGTTTTATTGAAGGCCTACAGTGTCTTAGTCCCTCTTCTGGGGACTAGGACATTTAGGTGTGAAAAGACAAGCAAAGTTCCTGCCATGTTGGATTTACTCTACAACTGAACAAATGAGTGAGCAAGAAAATGTCACATATGAGTAAGTGATATGAAGAAAATGATGAATATGATGTAATAAAAAATTATTTAGGAATGTACATCTAGGTCCGGCGTGGTGGCTCACTTTGGGAGGCCGAGGCGAGCAGCACTTTGGGAGGCCAAGGCGAGCAGAACACTTGAGGTCAGGAGTTTGAGACCAGCCTGACCAACATGGAGAAACCCCGTCTCTATTAAAAACACAAAATTTACCCGGGCATGGTGGGGCATGCCTGTAATCCCAGCCACTTGGGAAGCTGAGGCAAGAGAATTGCTTGAACCCAGGAGGCGGAGATTGCAGTGAGCTGAGATTGCGCTGTTGCACTCCAGCCTTGGGCAACAAGAGTGAAACTTTGTCTCAAAAAAAAAAAAAAAAAAAAAAAAGAATGTACATCTAAGTGGTAGATACACTACCTTCAAAATTTACCTTCAAATTTAAAATTTGGTACTATTAATATTGGACCAATTTAATAATGTAGTTTTTTCTCAGTCATTCCAAGTCATGTAAAAATGCAAATAAACATAAGTGACGTATCACTGGCATATAAAACGGCTTGCACCACAGATATGGGAAGACAAGTTTAAATGACACCATATATTGGAATAATCCCCCATGTATGTTGCTTTGACTGGTATCTTAACACTCTCTGAGATCAGTGTCATAATCTTCATCCTCAACATTCACATGTATATATCACCTTATTTAGTTGCTAGTTTTGTTTGAAGCATTTTAACATATATTAACTCACTGATTCCTTATGACTGCTTTATTAAGTAAGTATTATATGTTTATATTCATTTTGCAGATTATAAAACTGAGGCATGGAGCCATGAAGTAATAAATTCAGGTTTATATCATTGGTCACGTATCAAAGTCACTTTTGAAATTCAGGCAGTTGGGTTCCAAAGTCTGTGCTGTTGAACAGTTTGCTACACTGCCTCTCATTTTTGCTTATAAGATATTACAGGTGTTGTTATAGATTATTTCCAAGATCTCTTTCTGATCACAAATGCTCAAACCCCATGATAATTACTTAAAATATAAAAGCTAAGAGATCAGACTGTGTTTCAGCCTGTTTGGTTGGAATAGTTTATGTGTTTAATATCTTATCAAAGCTCTTCCCTGATTTTTTTTTTTGAGATGGTATCTTGCTGTATTGCCCAGGCTAAACTCAAATTCCTGGTCTCAAGTGATCCTCTCACCTCAGCCTCCTAAGTAGCTAAGACTACAGGTGCACATTACTGCACCTGGCTTTCTAATCTTAATGTGAGACTCTGCATTCCTCCATTTATATTCCTTTTTACAGAAGATTTCATTTGCAATTAGTAAACCTTTTAATCGATCATTAAAATTAAAGTAGCAAAAATATCATTTATAAAGGCACATGCTCAGCAGAAAACACTGGTCAAAATAATTAACACATGTTTGCAGATTTAATGCAACTGTTGGACCTGTTATACAAACTCACCTTTTAATAACATCCAGGGGCAAAATGCCCACCTTTATGCCATGTTGCAAAACATTTTATTCATTTATCTGTATTTTTAACGAACATTTGTTGAATATCAACTTGTGCACAACAATCTTGGGTACCAGGATATAAATATAAATGGCTGTAGAGCAAATATCAGGGTTTATGACACTAAAATATGGGTGATATAAGAAAGAATATCATTATCATTATAAATAATAACAATAATTATTTGCCTTTATGTGCACTTCATTTTTAACTAATATTATTCTCACCACAACATTTAAGGTCTCTAGCTCTAACTTATGCTATATTAATTATAGGGATTGGAAAACTTTCATGCAATCATACTCAAAGAAATACAGTACAGTTAACCGGGTGTGACGGCATGTTCCTATAGTCCCAGCTACTTGGGAAGCTGAGACACGAGGATTACTTCAGGAATTCAAGGCTGCAATGAGCTATGATAGTGCTTGTGAACAGCCACTACATTCCAGCCTAGGCAATAAAGTGAGAGCCCATATTAAAAAATTTAAATTAGGATAAAAAAATTGTAAAAGAATTATAATACATTTAATTATATAAAACTATAAATGTTATAAATGAGATAAAGTATTCAATAAAGGCACAAAGAAAAGAAAACATAAACAGCCCACAAAATTTCTAAATTAAAAATAAGTGGAAGCAGTGATGAAGTCTCAGAATGCTGTTTGTCTTGGGATGTAGTTCACTAGGGTATAAGTCTCGTAAGTTTTCACTCCCCATATCTAATAATTGCTTGGCCTACTGCTGTGCTCAAAGTACATGCTCAATAAATATATGCACAATGCAAAAGCTCTTATTTTACTTCTTTACTTTTACAATCTGAAGGTATGCCAATGTGGTAAATATCTGATGACATATCCATTAGGAGAACTCTTCTGCAGATTAATTTCTTAGGCATCTTGACAACTGTTTACATCTTGAAATATACGATTGGTCTTTGGACTTTGGACTTTAAAACAATGTAATTTATTGTCTTTTTACATTTTAACCATGCTTCCCTTTTTTCAAAGCCTCCTCTCCACTCTTTCCTAAAAGTAGATATTACTCAAGATTTTATCTTTAGCTCTTCCTTGTCTCTCAAAATCCTTATACCCAGAAAGTTCCATTCATTCCAATTTCCAATCTTCAAGTGAGGTAAGCAGGGGTCCCCACTGATACCAATACAGTCTACTAACCCTGGATACCAGCCCCTGATTATTCTACCGTTATCTCAAGTGCAACATTTCCATGAATTTGTTATCTTTTTCCTCATTCTGTATTCCCTTCCTGTTGCACCATCCATCAAGTCATACAAACCAGGCATTTGGAAGACATTAACTTATGATTTCACCTGTTCCATCTATCCTTGCCTACCCACAAGCTTCTAATCTGTGACTAAATTCCATGGGTTCTACCCCTTGAGGCACTGTCACGTCCATCTGCTTTTCCCCATTTTTGTGGTCACTGTTTCAGTAAAGGCTCTTTTTATTTTCCACAGGGACTGTTATAATAATCTTCTAACTAGCCTTCTTGCCTCCATTTGTAGTACACTTTCCAATTTGTCCCACAATGGGATGCTAGAGTCTTACTTATACTATGCAAATTTTGTTATGTAATGTACTGTCTTAAAAATCTTCCATATTTCCTCATTCTTTTCAAGATAAAAATCTAAACACAAGAATAAATGAGAGCCATTATTATCTGGTTCCTGCCCATTTCTCCAGCCATCTTTAAACAGTAATAATGATGGTTATCATAGGATGTGCCAAGCACTGTTGAAATGTCTTCATACACTATTTTATTTACTCTTTCTAGCAATCCTAGGAAGTGAGATTTAAGACCCCCAGTTTTATAAGTAATGTTTCCATAACAACTAACATCTACAGTCATGGAATAAGAAAATGACCAAGCCAGGATGTGAAACAGAGTCGGTCTAAATCTAATGCTGTTGCTCAAAAGGATTATTCTTCTTCTTCTTCATTTTTTTTTTTTTTTTTTTTGAGACTGAGTCTCGCTCTGTCGCCCAGGCTGGAGTGCAGTGGCGCGATCTCTGCTCACTGCAAGCTCCGCCTCCCGGGTTCACACCATTCTCCTGCCTCAGCCTCCTGAGTAGCTGGGACAACAGGCGCCCGCCACCACGTCCAGCTAATTTTTTGTATTTTTAGTAGAGACGGGGTTTCACTGTGTTAGCCAGGATGGTCTCGGTCTCCTGACCTCGTGATCCGTCCGCCTCGGCCTCCCAAAGTGCTGGGATTACAGGCGTGAGCCACCACGCCTGGCCTCAAAAAGATTATTTACTATTTCCCCTAAATTTCCTACTCACCTCTCCTTCTCATTCTCCATCTGTACCCTCTTCTCTTCAGGTTGTCACCTGTAGCCTTTAAGTACCTTAGAATCTATAATCACTTGTGGAGATGTTTAAAATTCCAATGGCCGGGCTTCATTCAGCTCTTGAGATTCTTAAGGTGAAGCCTGTGCATCAGAATTTTTTTAAAGCAACCCAGTTTTTTCTAAGGTGTAGCCAGGTTTGAGACCTACTGCCTAGCAAAACTAAATTATATATAGTTGTACCAAACATAATGTAACCTCCATTAGCCCTGATCCCAGTGATTGTAACTATTTCTCCCCATATAATTGTCTGTAGGGAATGTTTGGGCTTCCCACAGCTTCATGGCTCCCTTCAATTTACAATTGACATGACTGGCAGTCAGTAGACTGCCAACAATAACTTGTAAAATAAATAATTGAATAAGACTTGTTGATTGCTCTTATAAGTACTTTGTAGGAATTCTTAATGTAAGCACTGAAAATTAATATCTTGAAGTTCCTTAAATTTTGCAGGGCAAAGGGAGGAATGAAAGCACTGAAAAAAACAATTTCAATACATGAAATTATTTACACATAAAATGTGTCAGTTTCCTCCTGAGAAAAGGCTTAAAAAAAAAAAGCTCTCACTTAATTAAAGGCCAAAAAAGTTTTTTTCCCCCAAAGTTTTAAACTCATTAGCATCTTGCAGATATATGTGAAAAACTATAGTCTAGATAAAGATAACAAAGACAACAGAGAGGTCTTGTTTTCCTAGTTAACACCCTCCTCTCCTCAGAAAAAGGTGACTTTAAAAGCTACATCTTTATGCAACTGCCATTTTTTCCCCAGTGACAGAGTACATTTTCCTAATAATTAATTACTTAGTCATTGGCAAATTAAAACATCATATTACTTTGCAATTAATATATATTTAACACTGTTTATCAATAAATTAAGTTAATATTAATTATTATCAATATAATGATTTAAGTTTCTACTATTATTTAAGTTATTCATATAATTTTTGAGAAAACACTTTAGAGGTTTCTTCCATGAGGTTTTATTAAAACTGTTATAAGAATCTAAAAATCTTGTGTTTCTGCTATTATGTGAAAAATCTAAGTTATAGTATTTCAAGGGGCGATTTGGTGGGGGAATAAAATATCTAAGAATATAAAGAGAATCTGAATGACCACATAATAAAAATTAATCATGGTGAATTGCTTTGGGGAGAATCATACACTTGACCCATATTGAAGACTGAAATATTAATCCATTTCTATGACAGAGATCAAGCTTCACAGTCGCTTTTTATCCTCCTCATCATAGAAGCAACAGTTGTAAACCATAATGTTATAGTTCAAACAATGCCCCCCCAAGACTCCAAATTTATTATAGCATTCATCTCCAAGACAAAAGACCTGGTGTAGGCAAAAAGCTCTTTATAGCAAAAAGCATGGTTGTTATTTATGGCTCAGATGCAAAGAATGAGTTTGGGGAATTTATCAGAGATGAAGGTATGAAATGTTTTAGCTTGTTCTTCCCTCTCTAATCCATAAACCATTTTCTCAGCCACCCAAGTGAATTCTAATGGAACAGAAATGATGAAATAATATTTTCCTAGCCCTTTAACACTTTTCCTTCTGTATAAGTTTCAGTGGGATGAGAAGAATATGTTTTATAATATAATTAAAAATATTATAAGTAGCAATGAAGCAATATTTTAAAATAAGATATAATTTAGCTCCATAGGCAAAGTTTAGCATTTTTAAAAAGTTTAATTTTTACGTATTGAATTCTGCAATTTCCTATTATTAGTAGTATTAAGAGTACTATGGGCTATCATATAATTAGAATTTCAGAATGTTAAGTATATTCTCATTAAAATCATTTAAAGAATATAAGCCCCATTATTGTCTCTCCAGTCCCAGCGATTCAATCACATTACTTGACCTCTTTCTTTTAATATTCTTCACCATTAATTCTACCTTCATCGTCACTCTCCTTGAATAAGACATGCCATAATCAAAACAAAGATGACTCATAGATTACCTACTTTCCATCCTCACTTTTTGGAACAAGTATAAGGCCACAAAAAGATGTCGATTTCTCTAATGACTAGGCCAGGGAGAAAGCTTACTGCAGGTAGGAAGGTTTAGGATGTGCCAAGATGTGATGAAAGTTCATGCTTTATTCTTACAGATTGCCTTTCTTTTCTTTCCTCTCTGGCCTATGTCAGAAGGGTGTATTGCTTTCTTATGATGAAAACATATTCAACAAATGTGACTGGAAAAAAGTATGAAATGTATTAATATTTGCTCTCAAATAAATAAGATGTTTTTAAAAGTGTTGCAGTTACAGTTCTACAGCCCTGAGCACACTGTGAGCTTCATGGATGACATATTTTTTCTTCTCTAATTCAAAAGACAGGTAATTGTAGAACAAAATAAGGCAGCTCAAATAAATACAGAATAATCTTTAAGCTGGAAAACTTTTCTGGCATTGTTTGATAGATGTTATACTAAATCTATTGTTTGCCAAATTCCATTTAAATTGCTTAAACAGCTCTAGGAAAATGTGGACTCTGTCTGTACAATTTTTAACATCATAATTTGCAGAATTAAAAACAATCCACCACTGAGTTATTTGACATCACGCATTTTGATTGCACATTTTCTGAGTCTTGGAGCTTTTTTTCTCTTAGTTGTGATACTATTTCCTTTGCTACAATTTTCATCTGTATTACACTACTTTATCTTGACATGGAAATAAAAGTTAATTAGTTTCTATGACAACCTGTGCATTAAACATAGCAGTTCTCTCAGATTTGTAAATACATGCCAACTTAGTATTCAGAATGCAACTTGTATAAGCATTCAGTACAAATAGTGTGAGTTTGTTTGCAGTTAAGATAGAATAGCAACTTGAGCCAGATGACATGATTCATTTGAGTATACAGCATCTGTGAAAGATGTCCTAAATTTGTCATCTATGTACCACATACTCTTCATATTTAAAGCTACAAATGCCTTTATAATTTTTTTTTCTTAACCACATTAAAGATTCCATATAAAAACTCTACACTAAAAATCTTCTAGGTTTATTCTAACAAAGTGCCAAAAATAGACCCTTCCATTTAGCCTATGAAGTGTTGCACTCTCTCTAAAATAGTAGTTTTCAAACTTTTGTGTGCAATAGAAACACCTGTGGAACTTCATTAAAAATAAGAATTTCCAGGTTCTGCTCCTAGAGTGAGAAATTAAGTATATCCAGGATGAGACCAATAAATCTACATTGTTATCAAGCACCTTGGTTGAGTATCATGTGCACTTTGTGAGGGTCACTTTTCTGAAAAATAGTAGATTGTATATCAGACAGTTTTTAACCAAATGTAGTAAAAGATACTTTTAAATCATCAAGTTATCAGCATACCAAGATTTTAAAACCATTGTGAAAAAGTACTCCTTATTCTGTACTGAGAGTATAAAAATCACAGTTCTCACAGCATTCGTTATTCTAATTTCAACTTTTTAGAACAATAAATGATAATCTCATAAAGAAATCCTCCAGAAGACCAAATATATCAGTTATTGGTTGAAATTAGTAATATGTGACATGATCTTATGCATAAAAACCTTTCACAAAAAGCAGATGATTTACATGAATAAAAAAAGAGGCTAAATTTTACTATCCACTATTTTCTATGGACAATATTCTTTTGCCCTCATGGCAAAGGCAAGCTCTAATACATTATGCTTTGGGATTCTCATCAGAAACCTATAAACAATGTATAACTTACAAATGTCCTTCAGTGCATTAGAATACTTTTAGTACAGCTTTAAAATTTTAAATCAATTCTGCCATTCACTCCATATTATTTATCTTCAATTTCTCCATATTTTAAATGTCACTGTGTCATATTAAGTAATAAAAAGTTTAAAAGATTATAACCTGAACTTGGCAGATATGCACTTTCATTACAAGGCCTGAAATCCTTGCCTTCGTACGTTTTCTCTACCAGAGTCTTACTTCTTATCTTGTTTTCATTTTTGAATGCAATGAAATCTTCACACTCACCGAACAGTCTAAAGTATCAACAATGTTATTTTAAACCAATTCTAATAGTAAGTTAACGGTATTTAAAATATTTGGCTCTTAATCAGACTATTTTGTCACCTCTTTTAAAAATTATCCTATTATACAATATCAGCTGAAATTATCCATCATTCTGCTAGTCTTAAATCATCCTTTAATTCTATCAGTTATATTATTCACATGCCCCGTAATCCAGTAACATTTCATTTTCTTCAATCTGAAGCTCAAGAAGGAAAGAACGCATTTAAAGATTAATTTTTATGTATGCTCTTGTAACAAATTAAAACTAAGTGACATAATAGGCTTTATTATAAGAAAATTATGTGTACCAAAATGTGCTTGGGTAGAAAACGTAATTTATTTTCTCAGAACGTCCCCCTAAAGTAGGTGTTGTTTTCATTAAGTTTTTTTGCCTTTTAAAGGCCATAAGAAACTGAATTAACTAAATCTAGTAAATTCCATGTAAGCATTAAGTAACTCAGAACTCAAAGACTTATGGCAACAAAACTATGTACAGAATAGCCAGGTGCCTCTTTCCCTCCAGTGCAATACTGATCTTTCCTTGACTACATGGTTTTTGCTGTGACACCACTCTCATTAGATTGGAATTTGTGTTAACTTCCCTGTACTAGGACTTACTAATAGGATTGCTAGCAATTATTATACTGAAATGAAATCAGCACAAACTATTAGATCTGTTTAAACAAGTTAAAAATAAACCTTGATTAAATGTTCTTTTATAAGAAGCTGCTCATTAGGGCTACATGGCCTTCAGAAAAATTGGTGTTTCATTAACATCAAAGAATGTACTCAGTTTAAACTCCCTAGCCTAAAAAGTTACATAGAAAATAAAGTTTTAAAAATATTTTAGATAATGAAATTTTAGGAAAGATCTTCCTTATAGCTCTTGGTTTAGTCAATAGAAAGAAATATACTATTAAGAATGAGGAGTATTAATAATGGAATTATGAAGAAGAACACCACCAGCAAATGCAAAAAGAAGCAAAAGGATAAATAAATAAATAAATAAATAAATAAATAAATAAATAAATCTTTGCCAGAATGACCAAATGACAGATTTCTTCTAAGCTGAGATACAAGTCGGCCACGAAATTGTTGAATTAAAAAGTCACTTAGTATTTAAATGCAAATCAGTATGTCAATTTAAGTATCCCTGCATCCATTTTTGCAACTAATCAGTAACTTTTGAACCAAAGTAGAACTTACAGAACTCTAGAAAGGGCAAGTATCCCATTCTAGAAAGTAGAAACAACATTTTTCTTGTTACAAAGAATCAATGAACTGTTATGACCTGATTTGGTGGAAATTATTCTGTTGTGATAGATAACCTAACATAATTAAGATATAGTGTTGGTAAATGTTAAACATTTTTATGGGCTACAAACTCATAGAAAGGATTTGAGTAAAATTCTTATTATTCATCTTCTTATATCCATATCATTACACACACACACACATACACACACACTCTTTATCTCACTAAGAAAAGGTAAATATTACTGTATAAAGGTAAATGTTAGTTACATAAAGGTGGGTTACCATTTATGGTTGAAGATGAGTAAAGGATGAAAAAAAAAAGCCACTATAATTAAAAGTCCAAGAGAATCATCAAACATTGAAATTCACAATAACGTGTTATCTAAAGTTACTGGCAAGTTGATCTATTTAAAGATTACAATTTACTATCCTTAAAAGGGTTTTAAAATAAAATAATTCATTTTCTGAACTGTACATGTATTATTCTAAACAAACCAAGCAGTAATTACAACTGTAAATTAATCTCTTCATATAGACTGATATCCTCTACAGTATACTTGCCCCTTGCCTACACAGTAATATGAATATGTTCTGATGTTTAAAAGGAATAAACCTTCTAGTTTGAGTAATTAACATTCCTTAATTAAACATACTAAGGAATAGACAATGGGTTCTTTATGAATATGTGAGCATGCCTAAAAGCAACAAAATCACACTTTTGTTAAAGCATTTGTGTGTATTTTGCACAATTTTTAAAAGTTTAACCTCTGTAGATCAATGTGCTTCCTTAAAAGACTTTAATAAATTAAAGTGCAGAGAGCTTTTTTTCACCAGGCAGAAAAAGCTGATGAGACAGGTTTAGTTTAATCTCAGGCAATAGAAGTCATTAACCATTCTCTCAGGGATTAAAATATAGCTTGCCCTTTTCTTCTCTCACTTATCATTAGCATCACTTTAATCTCCTAGCGTTTCACACTGCTATTTTAATCATTACTTACTGCCTTTTGACAAGTGCAGAACATGCTTTTTCTCATTGAGGCAATATCCTGGTTTTAGCTGACAAATGTAGGACATAATGTAAAAATATCAAAGTGACATCTCTTAAACACACCTTCATCATAAAAACTCTAAAGTTACAATATTCCTTTGTCTAGTATTTCCATGAAAATTATCATTTGAAAGGTTTATATCTTAAATAAAGAAAAAAGTTTCTTCCAAATACAACAAAAACTAGTTTAGAGAAATAGTATGCTGAATAAATGAGATCTAAAAATATGCACATACATGTTATTCTTACTCTCTAAAATGTATACTCATGAACTGCCAAGTGTTTACAAAAGCAAAATGTTGTTTCGATATAACTATAATAACAAAATATGCTATATTGAAATGCCCACCCAATTACCATTTAATGCTTTATAATGATACTACATAGTACATATATCCTAGGTTGAGCAAAGTGCTGCAATGATTATCCCTAATTCTATTATTTTAAAATATGTACCACACCTCTGCTGATTGATAGATACTATGTAATTCTTGCGGAAAATTTAGGTAGAAATAACAATAGTTACAACCATATTCATATGTAACATCTGAAAACCTATTAAGAGTGTTACTACTGAACTTTCCGCTACATTTTCAAAATTGCTAGTTTAGATAAAAGAAAAACCATATGATGTTTGTTAATGTTCTTTTATCTAATGACATTTAGTTTAATTTACAGAATCTCTTTAATCTAATCTGCCTAAACCTGAAGTGGATAACAAATTTGGCATAAGTCTTTTGAGATCTGTGAATGTAAGTTTTATATTGTCTTTAGATATAAATATTACAAGTCTGAGAATATATTCTAGCATTAATACTGTGTTCTATTTTAACTCAAAACTAAACCAATGAAATGTTTGGTAATTGTAAAACCTGACTTTTTAAACCAAAGCACCAATTTTTGGTAACGATCACTAACACTTGGCCCCAAGACTTTTAATCTAGTCCATCTGTAATGATCTCATAGTACTTTCAACCATTATTTAACTGTTAGAAGAAAAAATATGTCGCACTATATGTTTCGACAATAAAATCCCTTCTTAAGCTTCACAAAGCAGAACAATTCATTATTTGATCTCTTTCCAGGTTCAAAGTCTGTCTTATTACAGTACTTCAAAGAAATATGTAATCAAAGACAAACAGCTGTGAAAACAATCTTTTATTACTTTATTATCATTGAGAATATATCTTTGGAGTAAACCAGTGGAAATAGCGTACAAATAATCTTCATAAAGGTTGTTGTTTTGCATTTGTTCACAAACTATGCATGTTTATCTTTAAGGCTTTAATTTTACTTTCTATAAATAGAATAATGGCACAGGCCAGTCACTCTATTGCCTGTTTAAAAAAAAAAAAAAAGGAACAATAGCAACAACACCACAAACAAGTTAGCTGCTCCAATGTCAAAGAAATGTTTTTAATAAACAAATTTTCAAAATGATATTCAGTGATGTGACTCCCTGGGTTAACATTGCCCTGAAGTGAAATTATTTTTTTCTGGTGTTCATATTAATCAGTTAGATTTGCAGAATTAGTCAACTACAAATTGGTATACACAACTAGAATGCATACACCTAAAGTTCCACTGAGTATTCTGAAAACAGATGCAAAATCAAGCAATTAGCTTCTAAGGTAGAAGCTACATTGCCAAAATTATCTTCATATTTTACACATCACACAATAATCTGGTCATGTCTATATTTCTCAGTATGGAGGGTTTCTGTTATCAACATGCAAATAGACTGGACAACATAACATAGTGTTCTTTAAATGGGAATGACTCTCTTCATCTGCAGCCTTGTGAGACACTGTAGGTTTCAAGGTAGAAGTGATGAAGTCCTGCCATCCCACTACAGTAGAAAACATGTGGAGGCAGAAGGAAGAAACACCTCCTGAGTGCATATTATATGGTAGAAACCGTATAATTTAGTTATGATACCAACCCTTTGAGGAAGTCATTATTTATAATCCATGCTTTACAGATGTGGAAACGGATTTTAAAAGCTTAGTAACTTTTGACTCATTCTTGGGTTAATCAGACTCCAAAGTCAGTGTGCTCATTGTATTAGATCAGAATGCTGTCCATTCTAGAACACACTTTCTAGGTACATGTCCTCAAAAGGCACTATAATCTCTAACAAATCCAACTCTTCTTCAGAAAACCATAAGGCATTATGGTAGACAGGGACAAAATAGGTCACTGTCATTTTCTATGAAACTAAATTGATGATTCATCAACACAGGCCATTGTTAGAAAGATCATTGTTCCTAGGTCTTTACAAACATATCGCTAGGCCAAAAGTGATGTGAAATCGGTGCCATCTTGCTTACCAAAAGATATCACTGAAAGGTGCTACAAGAATGCTCCCCTAGCAGGGCATAGTGGTTCATGCCTATAATCCCAGCACTTTGAGAGATGGAGGAAGGAGGATCTCTTGAGGCCAGAAGTTCGAGACCAGCCTGGGCAACAGAGCAAGACTCCATCTCAACACAAGCTTTTTTTTTTTTTTTTTTTTTTTTTTTTTTTAAATTAGCTAGGTGCTCGCCTGTAATCCTACCTACTCAGGAGGCTGAGGCAGGAGGATTATTTAAGCCCAGGAGCTTGAGGCTATAGTGAGCCATAAATGCATGCCACTGAACTCCAGCCTGGGCAACAGGGCAAGTCTCTTCAAGAAAAACAATTGCCACCTCAAATTGACAAACTGAAGAAGACAGACAGATAACAGTTATTCTGGTGCCATGGCCATATAGACAAACCAGGTAATTAAGGCTGTGATATAAATTTTTAAAAGATAATGGTATGTTCATTTCACTTTCTACTGTCTTAGTACAATCGCAAAATGATTTAATATCTTTGTATTGGTTTTAAAGTTTTGTCTCTAAAAATAAACATAGATACATATATAAACAAATGCATATTCACACAAAGATATATACATTAGCTATGATATGTTCTTATGTATTTATATGTAACATTGTCTTAGTTGTAAAATGTGAAGTCTAAACTGAATATAGTTGTCACAGACATTCCTTTATATTATTAAGATTATTTGAAGGTCACTGACAGAGGAAGGAAAAAATAACACAATGATAGGCAGTAAACAGAACTGAATTTAAATTTTTTGTTATTGCCAGTAAACATAACTGAAAAATCTAACATCATATTAGTATGAACATTAGTATTTTCAATTTTAAATAATACATTAAAAAATTCCTAGAGACTCTTTGCCAGCCAAGTGTAGGGATAATGGAGAAAATGGAATTGCTTATTTGAAGTTATGATCCTTCACTTCATAGCACAACTTGGTTTAGTTTTATTGGTTACTAAATAAGCAGTATAAGAATTAAAAATGAATTTAAGGCATGACTCAATTTCCATAAAAGTTAATTTCTTGACTTTTCAGTTTGATTGTTATCAAAAGTTATTCAGTAAAAGGGCGCAAAACAAAGCCAGTCACTCCAGCTTTGGAATAATTAAGCAGTAATTTGACCAAACATTTCCTTCCTTCCTGTGTATTTCTCAAAGTCACTATTACACTATAAATTTTAGCAGAACCATTTTTAATGGGCACAATCTATGAGGGAAATAGTCCATAGTAAAATGTTTCACAACCAAGGTTGGCAACACCATTATGAAGTCACTTTTTACTGCTATTTTTAGGATGTATTCAAGATAAACTTTTGATTTTCAGGTTTTTAGAAAGGTCAGATTATAGAAGTGAGAGTTACCATGGCTAATTTTGACATGTAACACCTATGTATAATTGAGTTTATTAATTTTGGAAATACCTAAAGAAAAGTTAAATAGTATGGTATTATAACTTTAGATGTTATTTTAATGCAATATTTTCTTAATATATTGATTAATAAAGAATTAGATCAGTTAATGCTAATTCATTGTTTCCATTTTGGGTGATGCTATAATAAGCAATAAAAAAGGAGAAATAACAGTCTTAATTCCTAAGAGTCCCTGGATCATTTGCTTTCATTGAAAAGGTATCATTCATAAAGTCATGTGAAATAATCTTATACAGCTGCTTTTTCACTTTTTGAGGGTACCTTCTTACATATCATTTCATTTCATACTGAATAAAACATATATTTAAATTTTACTTACCCAGATAGAAAAACTAGCATCTTTTCTACACCCCAAATAAACCCTGCTGTTGCTTTTACTTTGTCACTCACTGGTAATTTTTTTCTTTGTCTTCTTTATCTTTTACCTTCAGCAAGTGACTTCTCATCTGACTTGATCTCTACAACTTGTTCTTCCTTCATCACTCCCCACCCAGACCCTGTCCCAGAAGTTTCAGAAGCCTCTTGACCTCCAATGCAAACATCTGATAAGCATCCTCAAAGCACTCTAGGCCTATTCATAGTTTTCTGTCTTATCCCAAATTATGCTATCTATTCTTTCAGCTTCCTGTAATTCCTGTTATCAAATATATTTCACTGTTTTGCCCCCATGGTTTACAACAATCACCCTCTTGTTGTTTTCAGATGAGTTCCTTAAAATGGTAAAGGGGAGCTCAGGAAACATTTCCACCTTCTTCTTCTTGTCCGTACGGTATAGCCTTAAAGAGACAGGAAACATTTCCACCTTCTTCTTCTTGTCCGTACGGTATAGCCTTAAAGAGACAGGAACTTCAGAGTCAGACAGTCCTGGCTCTTAGCGTGTCTCCAACAAACTGTTTGGTAGCTTGAACAGTAAGTCTCAGTTTCCTCATGAGTTAAATGGGAATAATGACATCTATATCATAGGGTTATTATAAGCATTAAGTAGACAAAATTTTCAAAAATTTTATGGTACATCGTTGATGCTAATCAAACTTAGTATCACTTCCCCTCTTCTAGAAACTCATGTATAAATAAACAAGAATTGTTCTGAACTGCATTATCCTAGCTTGCTTTTAACAATCTATGTGATTTTATATATAATTATATTGGCAGTGACTGCATCTATATTATGTCCATCATTTTAAAACACAAAAAAACTAATCCAAACGCCAAACTTGTAGATTGGAGCTATATTTTTTCCTAAATTTTTGTTTTGTTTTGTCTAGTTTGGATTTCTACTGGACAACAAATAGAAGACTTGCTAACCTTTGTCAGACGTTTAATTTTAAGTATTTATGTGTAATATTCCCACTATTCTCAACATTCATATTGAGTATATATGAATTATTAAATCAATAAATTATAAGGCCAGGTGTGGTGGCTCACACCTATAATCCCAGCACTTTGGGAGGCCAATGAAGGTGGATTGCTTGAACCCAAAAGTTTGAGACCAGCCTGGGTAAAATGGTAAAACCTCATCTCTACAAAAAATACACAAATTAGCTGGTAGTAAGGGGTTGTGCCTAGAGTCCCAGCTACTTGGGAGGCTGAGGTAGGAGGTTGCAGTGAGCCGAGATTGCACCACTGCACTCCAGCTTAGGCGACAGAGTGAGACCCTGTCTACAATAAATAAATAAATAAATAAATAAATAAATAAATAAATAAATAAATAAAACTATAAAACTTCAGAATTGAAGTGGACCTTATAAATAAGCTAGTTATTTCTCTCAATTTACAAAAGACAATGCATTGCTCCAAGAGATTAGACAACTCAGTCGGTGATATTCAGAATCAGTAGTAGAAGCCAGATTTCTGACAATTAACTCACTAATTTCTTGATACTTTGATTTTTACATAAGTCAAATGTAATTAATATTTTGAGATATACATTTTACTGATCTTTGTCTTTAACATTAGAGTAAATGTTAGAGGAATAAACTCCCTGATTTCTGTTTTCAAACTTCCCTTCAGTGACAAATGAGAGCACTCAATAGTTTTAAAATTAACTTTCTGTGGATTATAGCTTTATAATGTTGAACAAATGTCCCCAATTTTTGGAGAAATTTAAGTTGAAAAATCTAGTAAAAAAATCTTAATTTTCAAAAGGCATAACTATTGTTTTCTTTATAATAGTTTATAAAAAAAATTCTTATAATGAAAGTAAAGAAATATAAACTGCAACTTTCCTCTGCTAACAATATGTAGAAATCATATGTTTTAAGCATAGCTCTTGAAACACATAGTAAGCTCCTTTCAGAATTTCATATATTTATCATTTCTTTAAGAATAACATTTCCAAAAAATTAAACTTGGAAACAATAAATTTGTTCTGGTATAGTTTATAGAATTGTTACCCTAGGAGAAACACTGGTCTAACATGGCATTTGTTTATCAAATGATCACTAAAGAAAGGCAGATACCAGAAAGTTGGAGCTTTATGTGATATTTTCATTGTAACCATTCATATACACAGATTTAGAAAAGAAAGTTGCTCCCCTTTTTCAGCAAGATTTGAATGGCATTTTGCAAGACTTAACTTTGATACCTTTTCTTCTGTCATACCTAAGTCAAACTTTCTTACAGTGTGGATATAGTGAAAAGATGAGAATTTAACAAAAACAAAGGGCTGAATATATATATATACATATATACACATATATACATATATACACATATATACACATATATACGTATATACGTATATATATACACATATATACGTATATACGTATATATGTGTATATATATACGTATATACGTATATATACACATATATACGTATATACGTATATATGTGTATATATACGTATATACGTATATATACACATATATATATTTATATACATATATATATAACATGCAAAGGTAACAGAAAACGTTTTAAGAGTTTGATTTTGGATTTTAGAACAAAACTTAACTTCATTCACATCCAGATATCTGAGAAAGAACAGCTATACCCTTTTAACATCACCATTTAGAAAATAGAATGCAGAAAGTGGCAACGCAAAATATACTTTGAGTAAGACACATTAATTTCTCTGGACCTCCAACTTTTTGCTTGTAAAAAGTACTTACTTTACTGAGTCATTTAATAAAATGAGTGACTTAATGCTTGCAGAGCGCTTTGCATACAACCTAAACCATATTGGAAGCTCAAGTGGTAAAACAATAACCACACCAAACAAAAATAGTTCCATTTCATGGAGTGATGGAGATACTTGCTACCTCTCCACCTCTCCTTTCCCCTCTATTCCCAGATCTCTTCTTTGACATCTTCAAAATTCAACAAAAAAGTTTCCCTGTCTTTTTCCTTCCCATCCCTGGCCACCTCTACTCAACCGCATCCACCTATTTTATGTTTCTACTTGTGCAAATCTCAAGTTTTGGACTCACCACAGAGAATTATGCAGACTTATTTCTCTTTCCTACTATATTGTGAGCTGAGAACAAAAACTCTTTATTAAATCTCTGGAAACCTCTTCTCTATATTAGTGCCTGGCATATTGTGGGTGCTTCAAAAACATCCTATGAAGGAAGGAATGAATGAATGAATGAATGAATGAAAATAATAAGGATCAAATGGGATATTATATATAAAAAGGCTGTGTAAACCATAAAACATTACTGGGGGATAAGGGTCAGGTAAAGATCAATAGAGATTTAAAAAGAACTGTGACCAGAATAGGAATTACATCAGCAAGGGAAAGAACGGGAGAGGCTTCCAGATAAAAAAGCATACACAAAGACTGAAAAGTTAGAAAGAGCTTGGCAAGTTGAGGGAACTGAGGAAGGTTCAGTGAGGCATTTTAGAGTTTTTTCATTGTGCTATATAAATTTATATGATATTAACATTTTTATGTGATCAATCAAATAATAACATTATTTTTACATTGACACTATCATTTAAATTTCAGAGGATTCTGGAGCACTTTATGTATATTTAGATTAAATATATTATTTTGTTTATCCCTTATAAAACATATCAAATAAAATATGCAGGGCATTACAAATAACACGGTATGAAACAGAGGCTACCACATATTTTTGAAAATTAGCTACAAGTTGATAGAATTATCAGTGTTGAAAATCTACTCTTGAACCTGGGAGACGGAGGTTGCAGTGAGCCAAGACTACGCCACTGCATTGTAGTCTGGGCGACAGAGAGAGACTTCATCTCAAAAAAAAAAAAAAATTCTCTTAATGAAAAGAATGTTCCTCTCTCCCCTCTCTTCCTTCACTTAACTTTTACTCTTCCTTTGGTAAAATAAAAAATGTGCTATAAAAGTGAAATCACTTTCTTTCCTGCCTTTTTAATGTTTTGTTTAACTTTCTTGTTACACTCCCTGAATAGTGAAATACATTTTCAAATTATTGCTAAGAATAGGCCGGTCTCAGTGGCTCATGTCTGCAATCCCAGCATTTTGGGAGGCCAAGGCAAGAGAACTACCTGAACGTAGGAATTCAAGACCAGCATGGGCAACATAGCGAGACCTTATCTCTACAAAAAATAAAAATAAATTAGCTGGGTGTGGTGGCACGTGCCTGTAGTCCAGTTACTTGGGAGGCTAAGGTGGGAGGATCACTTGAGCCCAGGAGGTTGAGGCTGCAGTGAGCTATGATAGTGACACTGCACTCCAGCCTGGGTGACAGAGCGAGATTTTGTTATGGTAAGTTTGAAACTTTCACTGTGCCTTCCCTTTGGTTCATTAGGTTATAATAAAGGCCACAAGCTCAAATGCCTCAAGAACCAGGCAGGGAACAAACAAATCCTGTGGGAACCACAGTGAACCTGCACACAGGTCCACAGAAAGGAAGCAACTGTAACTCACCTCTAGAGAACTGTTGCCATGCCAACACTAGGTCCAGATCTTTTTTATTTTTATTTATTTATTTATTTATTTATTTATTTATTTATTTATTTATTTTTTGAGACGGAGTCTAGCTCTGTCACCCAGGCTGGAGTGCAGTGGCACCATCTCGGCTCACTGCAAGCTCTGCCTCCTGGGTTCATGCCATTCTCCTGCCTCAGCCTCCCAAGTAGCTGAGACTACAGGCACCCGCCAAAGCGCCCGGCTAATTTTTTCTATTTTTAGTAGAGACGGGGTTTCACCGTGTTAGCCAGGATGGTCTCGATCTCCTGACCTCGTGATCCGCCCGCCTCGGCCTCCCAAAGTGCTGGGATTACAGGCGTGAGCCACCATGCCTGGCCAAGGTCCAGATCTTTAGGATTCTTAGACGACCTAACAATTATGATTTTTCTTTGGAATTTTCATGGTAAATTTGATGCATAATTCATGTGGTTCAAAGATCACTCTGGACTGAACAAAATGATGTTTCTATGAGATATGAGTTGGCAACCTCAGTTCAGTATAACATTTCCTTATTTCTGTTTTCTGACACACACTACACAAAAGGTTTGTGAACCTTTACATATGTTTTTAAAATGTTGAATTGGATCAGATCATCCCATCTTCAGAAAGCTTGAATGATGCTACACTGATTACTGCAATAAGTACCAATTTCTCAACTAGACATTGGTTGCCCAGTAAAATATATCTCCAAAGCTGTAACTATCTCATCATCCTACAGACCCTTAAGTTTCAGGCAAAATGGACACATTTCACTCATGTCTCATCCTCCTATTCTGCAAAACCCATTAAACATCATTTCATTAGAAAATAAATGTTTGTGGCTGGGCCTGGTGGCTGACACTTGTAATCCCAGCACTTTAGGAGGCCAAGGCAGGTGGATCGCTTGAGGTCAGGAGTTCAAGGCCAGCCTGGCCAAAATGGTGAAACCCCGTTTCTATTAAAAATACAAAAAATTAGCTGGGCATGGTGATGCATGCCTGTAGTCCTAGCCACTAAGGAGGCTGAGGCAGAAGAACTGCTTGAACCTGGGAGGCAGAGGTTGAAGTCAGTGCAGACCATGCCACTGCACTCCAGCCTGTGGACAGCAGGAGACTGTCTCAAATAAATAAATAAATAAACAAAATAGAAATAAAAATAAAATAAATAAATAAACTGAAAAAGAAATGTTTGTGTTCTTATCCTTCCAGTAGTCCCAGTGCCTAATAATCTGTATTACTGGTAAAGTTTGTATCAAATATTATCTTGTGTTAAAGTGAATAGTTTCTTTACAAATCTCCCATAAAAATCACAGCATCAGGAACTATCTTAGTCATCAGCATCCATTCATCTGCTTTTTCCCATAGTGCGTACTCTGGCAGGCACTAAACCAGAGTTTTTACCTTCATTTTCATACCTAACAATCCTGAGAAATCAAAAATAAAATACTTATTCATGACAGTTATTTGTGCACATTTGAATCTAGACAGTGTAGTAATAGGTATTATTGCAGGCTAATAAACCAACGAGAGGGCAGGATTTGTCAGCCAAAGTTGAAATTATTTTATCTAATTTCTTCAAAGTAAGAAGATTTCTTCCACCAAAAATATTTTTTAAAAATTATTCCTCAAAGTCCCTCAAGCCATTATCACAGGAAGGATCAATAATAAGAGACTGGCATTGACAGTGAAAGAGGGAAGGATCAATAATAAGAAACTGGCATTGACAGTGAAAGATAACAACAAAGATAAAGGCATTGCTTCAAAAGACCAGTCAGTGGCTATACACACAGACGTACACACGTTCCTGCACAGAGAAAGGAGTTACAACACTATCACCAGAAAGATTATGACATGTAAGGGATTTGGAGGTCTAACATCAAAACCTAAAGATAGCTGTATTAGATCCATAGTGATGCCTTCATAAAACAATAAAAGGCAACTCAAGATGAACAAAATACGGTGAAAACTGGCTAATCACTATCAAGTTCCATTCTCATTCTGAACATAAACTTATAACTAAAGTCTAGGAAAAGGTACTTAATATTCCTACAGAAAAGAAAGAGATGAAATTTAGTCACTAACATATACAAACAAGATCAAGATCCCCGCTTATGTTTTCCTATCAAAGGACAGGCAGAGGTTCCAAAAATGTAAGATAAAAATAATGTGATAACAGTAATTATAGGATGATTGAGTTAAT
This sequence comes from Homo sapiens, assembly GCF_000001405.40. NCBI lineage: Eukaryota > Metazoa > Chordata > Mammalia > Primates > Hominidae > Homo > Homo sapiens. The sequence continues at coordinate 71,783,518 of NC_000013.11, forward strand.
TTAAGAAATATCTCCTGTACTCTTATGGCTCAGATATTGTACCAGGGAACCAGAATACAGAAACGATAACCAACGATACCTGCCCCCAAGAGCATTGCCTTTAGTAGGAAAGGCAGAGAAGAAGGAATGGTTACAATAGATTATAAGAAGGAGTCTTAAGAGGAGTGATTGAAATTTAAATATCTTTCTATGGTATACTTAACTCTTGCTCAGAGTGACTGGGCAGGGAGAGTTTCACAGAGAAAGTGTCACTGGAGCTGGCATTTAAAGAATGAATGGAAAAAAACATAAAAGACACAAAATAATTTAGGTTTGATTTAAGGTTTTTTTTTTGTTTCCTTTTTTAAGAGGTATAAAAATAAAAAACAGGATAGTATTAACTCTATTTACTCACTAACATAGGTTGGCTCTCATCCTGGGAGATGAAATACATATTCTCCAAGGTTTAAAAAAAAAAAAAAAACAAAAAAAAAACTAAAGATAACAAAAGTGTTAGCATAAAAGTAAAAACTTATTGAGGACAACTGAGAGGTTGCTGCCTTTATGAAATAGAGAGAGTACAGTGAATTTGAAGTTTTGTTTTAAAGGTGATGTATACTTTAGCACAACAGTTGGATTTGTAATGGTACCAAGGACCTGAATAAATCGATAATTTCATACAAGTAGGAGTACATTTGCACTGTTTTCCAGTCTTTTAGTTTTAAGATGTTTTCTAACTTCTAGAACTTCTATGTGTAGGCAAGATAGTACCTGTTCCATGTAGGCACTCAGTAAACAGTGCTTCAGTAAATGAATTCACAGAAAATGGGTAAATAATTAAATGTAGTGGTAGAATAAAGCTAGAATAAATATGGTGCTCATGTAAGAAAAAGAAAGTAGAAAATTTTAAGGCCAGAGTTTTGTAGAAAAATTCATTATTTTCGCTCTGAATTGGTATACAACAATGCACAAAAATGGCCTATTTTCCTTTCTGTTCATGTGATTCACACCCACTCACATAAGAAAACAGAGTATGTTTGGCTTCACAAACTGGGGCTTATCTATCACTTTTTACTCCTCTCAAACTATTTCCAATCTTTTGAATTCAATCACTGCAATTATACAAATTCTCTTAGAAGTCCACTGCCCTCTCCTACCCTTTTCTTTATATATTAGAATTCACCCAGACATGCTCATTAGCCAAGAAAAGTTTTGTCATTATGAAGTACTAGAAACAGAGATAAATCCCCTGCAGATTTTCTGATCCATTTCTTGACCTATTTTAAAAAATAATCAGGTTCCCCAGCCTTCATCATAAAGAATTTCTATCATAATAAAATGTGCTGATAAATAGAATAGCCACTTGCTGAATTATCTAGATCTGTTCTAAGACTTCAGCAATGTATGGATCCTAATTGACTATTCTTTCTCAGTCTATAATAAATAGTAATGATCACTAGAAAAGCGATGATCACTAGAAAAATTTCTCTAAGAAGTACACATATAAAAATATATAATGGGATTCAGGGGAAATAAAATATGCTAACAGAGTCCTTTGAACTCTCTAAAAATGCAATTTGTTTCTTATTTTCAATTGTGAGAGTTCTAAGATGTAAGAGTATTCTGAACCACAAAATTAATAAGGGTCCAATTAGCTCCTGAATTCGCCAGGTTAAACATATATACTCCATAAAATTATTAAGAAACCCGGTTGTATCTTTGTCATCTGCTTCAATTTCTTTTTATTTCGCACTAATTAGGAAGAACAAAGTTACATAAGTGTGTCTCTCTGTGTCACCTGCTAGTTAATCATTCAATGAAAAAAAGTAAATTCTTGTTAGCTGTAAATGTGATTGCTGTTAAGATTTAAAAAGCACTATCCTGAAGATAACCCAAAGAGCATACCGTATTCAAATGTATATTATGCATTTAAGTTAGAGTTTAGAAAATTCCCTTTACATTGCTAACCAGTTTTAAGATAATAAGGCAAGGCCTAGGCTTCCTGATGCTGTTTTTAATGACAATCATATCTGTCTTATAATGTTAATGTGTTCCTAAAGCCGTGTGTACTCTTGTATCAAGGAGATGTTTTCACTTCATGTGTTGGATCACTGCTTTTCAATATAGCTGAAAAGACTCTGTTGACTGGGCTCAGCTCATTGCACAAAGCCTGAAAGGCCCAATGATTACTAATGGGAGCATATGGTCAGAGCTAAAATCCATAATCCCAATCCCTAGAAAGGTATCTTCACTTTTTCCACCCAGCATCTTTATTCTCTTCACATGCTTAACATCCTAACATGTTTTTCTCTCTTGCTCCCTCTTCAACTAACCAATCCCATGCTACTTTCTTCTACCTATTTTTGCACTGTCTACTCAACTATGCATCACAAAACCCCACTGCTATTCTTGGACAGGCAGGGTCCTCTCAACTCACTAGCAAGCAAGTACCAGAGAGCATACCTTTCAAGGGAGCACCATGAGGGGCAGGCATTGGTGGACAACAGCTTGGAACAAGGCAAATGTGAATAAAAGGAGGCTGCAAGAGAAACATAGCTCTAACAATGGAAAAAGTTTAAAAGGCGGGTAGAGAGCCCAATATAAGATTCAGGAGTAAGCCACAGGAAAGAAAAAAATAATACTAAGGCCCTGAAAAATAAAATACGTACTTGAATCATCTATTTTAGTTGAAATAGCAAGACATAGTTTTTTAAAAATACAATTAGCTTATGCACATGTGCATGTAAGCATTTAGGCCTCAAACAATAAACATGCCTTGTGTATTATAGATCGATATAGCTTCTATATTTAAGACAGTTTGAAATTGTAAGTAGATGCTCTTAATGCCTTGCATCCCATCAGGATGGAAAACATAGAAAGTGGAAGTTGACATGGCGGCCACAGCTTCATAGCCAGGCAGGTGAAGTATATTTTGTCAGATGAGAAACAAATTAAAATATTTATTGTAGATCTAATGATTCAACCCTATTGCTTACATGTTCTGTAAGTTGTATTAATAATAGAAAGTAAAAAGGTTAATAAAATTAGATCTTTACAACCTATCTGAAAATGGCATACATTTCAGTATTTAATATTAACTCCAGAAATAGCCCTTTGAATATACATTTTAATCATATAAGAATGGCTAAGAAAGGACACAAATTAACAATATTTTTTGTTTACTGGCTATTATTAAGTCCAATCTTTTTGCCCTGAGGACTGAGCCTCTTCATGATATTTAGAATCCATTATTTCATAAACTGAGTGACATAAAACTTCTATCAGAATTTCAGAGGGGAAAAAAAAGCTTTTCTAATGTTTCTTCTTCTTTTTGTTTATTGTGCATGGTAAATTGACAATACTTATTTAAACACTTAAAAAAAAATCTGATCCTTTTCTTCCTGGACCAAAGAATTTTCTCCGTCACAGAGTAATAGAGCTTGAAAACTTCAGCATCAGCAGGGAAGGCAGGCACTCCTTAGCCAGCCACTGTGAGAGAGAGAAAATGCAATTAAGGTTCCCACCAGGGAGAGAGAACTAAACAAAACCTGCGTCTTCACACAAGAGCCTTTTTCTTCAATGCGAACTACAAGGCCTCAAATCTTGTTGGTGAGATGCTAGCATTTAGGACAACACACTTTCAGATTTTCTCACAGCAGATCAAAGTAAATAATGCAAGGGCAGCAAACAAAAGGGAAAACTCCAGCGTGCTTACATTAAAAAGAGATTACAGGGGACTTACAAGTGATTGAAGGAAGAGATGACATTTTTTAAAACATAAAATCAAGATCTCTAAGTACAGCTGGCAAATAAAGTCTAGTTGTGTTACTTTAGCTAGAGAGACAAGCCACAAGTGACTTATCATCAGCATGAAATTTTTAAAAAGGTAATCTTACTTTATTAGAGTATTTTTTACATCTTTAGTTACACATATTCCTTCTCTTCCCTTCCTAGGTTTTAGGATTTTCAAAGCCTAGAATCATGACACCTGATGATGAACCATTAAAGTTATGAGCCTTCGCAAATCATTGCTACAGAATATGCGCAGCATTCTGTGGATTGGAGAGATGTAGCCTCGCTTCGCTTGCCTCTTTCTCCCGAGGACAGTAATCAGTCATAAAAACAGCTCTCCTCCTTCATATCAAGCCAACAGCTGGAAACTCTTCTGCAATGTCAAATTTAGCACGCACCCCTTACTAGGCACTGAACTTAGTCTTGTGGGTCTGCGCTACAGTCTTAAATGAGTATTCCCGGGCCATAGTTTATCCTTTATTTTTGCGTAACATTCTCATTGACTTTGGTGCAACTCTATAAAGGAAGCAAGGATTGAATATCATCCTTTAATGCCAAATTTACTACAGCTGAACAAAATGAGCGGAAATCTGGGAGGCTCATGTCAATAAACAAAAGATAAATGTTTAGGAGACTTAATAACTGAAAGGAGCTCAAATAGCACTTTCTTTGGAACTATTTTTAAAAATACAGTGATATAGTAGTGTATAGAATTTAGTGACAGTTTAACTGATATTTATACAGTTTGTATAGTATATGTGAATATATAAACACACTATGTGTGTATGTGTATGTGTGGGTGGGTTTTTGTAGTAACTGCTGAGATATTAGGCCACTAGAAATTTCCAAAACAATTCACAGATACAATAAATGCCAGAATCAAATAGGCAATGTGGAAGACAGACGTCAGGTCTTAGAATCCCTAGATGTGAGATCTGGTTCAACTTTACCATTTTAACTTTCCTGGGGATCAATCTATGAAACAAAGAGGTGGGATTAGAGACACTCTAATGTTCTTTCCAATTCATACATTCAGTTAGTCTATAAAGACTCTTATAGCCAGTTTCTGGGCCAAACCTGTGGCTTTTATATGTGTGAGTATCTGTGTTTATATACACAAATATGCATATACATTTCTGTGTATGTCCATATATATACCTATATGTTTATACTAACATATAACGAATCAAATAATTTAATATTGTGATAACTTCCAAATTTAGAATCAAATGTGAAGAAATATATTTGTCCTGTCTGCTATAGGGTAGTTTACTGCACACACACACATCACACATACCCCCCCACACACACACCTTCTTCTACCGCTATATTAGTTCATAAAATGTAAAATACATTGTTACTTTTAATTTCTTATGGTTACTTTTGGAGAGATCAAGGACATTTGGGCAGACATGTGTGGCTAATGTATCATAATGAAAATAATGTACCCAAGTTGAACTTCAACCTTTTTTCACAGCTCATAATTGGAAAAAATGCATACAAATATGCTGTTGTAATAACTTAAATAGAATTTGTGCTTCCAAACTCTTATAAACCTCCATTCTGAAGCATTATTACAATTGATTCTAAATGTTTATATCTCAGATATACTTTCATTCAACTAAAATGCACTTAGAAAAATTTATTCTCCAGAAATCAAATCAGTGTTGACAAATATGATACCAAGTTCTGTTTTAATTGTAACAATGAAAGAAAATAAATATTATGTATTACTTATTAAAATTCCTTCTCCAAAAAAACCAGACTGGAAAATAATCAGTCTGTATTCAGTTCACAAGATTCCTTTATCTCACATGGATAAAGTAAGCCAAGTCAAATTCTCAGTGCTTACTATACACATTTAACTCAAAAGTTATTTAATTCTGTTTACTTTGTAAAATGTATGATTTTACTCTGTTTAGATCACAGTGCATTTAATTTAGGAAGAAACTAGAAGATTTAATATGAAAACTGGCAAGTGTAAAAGCAGTATTAAACTGTCAATCACAGCTGATATTGCAGAGCTTCATTATTTAACTGAATATGAAGATTAGACACCCTATGTTATGCATATCAATTTAAAATAAGAAATAAATTTAATCTTAAGTTGGAAAAGTGCATAAAGATTTGCTTGAACTGATGGGATCTGATTTATCCCATAAAAAGTATTATTTCTGAGTTTATCATATGTGCATATAAGTCTATATATATAATAAACATATCAAAAGTTTTAGATTTAAAAAATTTAGGTATTTATGTTGCCTTTCACTATCACCTTTTTCTATATCTGTAAGAGTACATTATAAATATTAACATTAAATCTACTGGGAAGGCAGCTGTTGCACACTACACGCTAAAGGGCATTTTAACCCATTAGTGGGGTTTTCTCTGACAGATAGAAGTATATATGAGTGAGTGATTGTTGTGCAATAAACCTGGGAAACATGTAAATTGCATTTCCTCATGGCATATTGCAACTGAATTAGAATATTGGACAGACATAAACAATGCAATCAAACCGTGCCTTTTATTGAGCTTCTATTTGACTTAGTATTCATCTGTAACAACAACAACAAAAAATGTGTTTCTCAGGGTCTGTGACAATGCAGGCCACAAGAGATTCAATGTCAGTGCCGGCATACAAATTTATTAGTCTATAAAATTTGACATTCTCTTATTTATTCACAGAAAGGACAAATAAGATATTTTTTCATACTTACCAGAAATATCTGGGAGTGTTTATATGCCGCTCCATCTGGAGGATGCAAATAGTCAGAACTGCTTTACAATTCAGTAGGCAAAAGCCTGCTGAAGGATAACAAATGACTTCATGGTGAAACTGCTATTGAAATTCTTTCAGTATGTGATATTAAAAACAACTGAACAAACAGAGATAAGGGACAAATAGGATTTGAAACAGACTTTTTTTTTCTTACAGTGCAAAAGAAAAACAAACGAATGCTTTAGTCGAACCTATATATACCTTTTAGTGATTTCACAGCATGGATTTGCTTAATGCATGATAGTTTTTAACTGAAGCATCTCTAGAAGTCCCACTAAAACCCAGGAACCAATTCTAAAATGTCTCCTTAGGGTCAAGAATTATAATGTTGACGCTTAAGAAAAACGAGAAGTCAACATGACTCTTTTGATGACTTGACTTAGAGTTTCACGTTTTGGCCTTTGGCATAATGCAGGGATGTGGAGGTTTAATAAATATTTGGTGGTTAAGATGCTGTAGTTTAAAAAGGCCTTCTAAAATTATGTGATATACAAAGATAAAAGCAAAAATCTAGAGTTAAATATTATGAGAACCAAAGTAGTATAATGAGAGCTACCAAAAAGTTTACTTGAAAAATGCATTTCATTTAGTTCAATCTCTCTTACATAGAAGAGGTTCTACAAATGTTGGCTTTGCAAGACAAACTAATGTTAGTAACTTCCAGGTGATCAGGAAAGTCAAAATCTAAGAAACACAAAAAAGCATTACTTTGCAATGATTATTTTTATTTCTTGCTTTGAAGGAAAGATGAAAGGCTATTTAGTTAGGTGTTCTTGTTTTATTCTACAGCTGCATCAAAGCAACTACCTCAAAATTTACAAAACAGTTCATAGAGCCCCCCGGTAATTGAAGTATAGGCTAAATGATCACATCAACAACATATGAACATTAAATCTGCCAAACAAAACTCAAATTATTAGGTCTTCAAATGATCCACTATTTTTCAAGAAATATCCAGTAACGAAACAGCTGACTGAAACCCTGACATGACAACGATTTTTAGATACTTCCCAAGATAGCATTTCTGTGTATTAATGTACAATGGGCCAAAATTATCAGAAGCATATTACAGTGATCTTCCTTTAGTCAAATCTAGATTCTTTAGGACTAACTCTCTTTACTTACACCTAAAAGTGTGCCATGTGCAACCAGCTGTGCTAATATAACCCATTTGCTCTTTCGGACGTCAAACAATGATTTACACTAAATGAAGAAATATTATCTTCTGAGGCTAATGCAGATTATTTTCTTGATAATTTATTTTTAAAATAAGAGGGTGGAGCTATTCTTTGTTTGTTTGTTTGGTTTGGTTTATTTTTTTGAGATGAAGTCTCACTCTGTCCCCCAAGTGGCAGGCGGGAGTGCAGTGGCGCTATCTTGGCTCACTGCAACCTCCACCTCCAGGGTTCAAGTGATTCTCCTGTCTCAGCTTCCCAAGTAGCTGGGCTTACAGGCACATACCACCATGCCCAGCTAATTTTTTGTGTATTTTTAGTAGACATGGGGTTTCACCATGTTGGCCAGAGTGGTCTCCAACTTCTGACCTCGGGTGATCCACCCGCCTTGGCCTCCCAAAGTGCTGGGATTATAGGCATGAGCCACCGCTCCTGGCCTGAGTGTGGAACTATTCTTAAAAGTACTAACCTTCCAAGTGAATTCACAGTTAAATGGGATTATAATATTTTGATGGGCAATAAAGTTTCATCAAAACTAGTATATTTTGATGACTGCCCAACTACAACTTGTTTAAGTATATAAAGAAGCAGATAGCTCCAATATAGTTTGCTCATTTCACATATTTGCTGGTCAATCAAGTCTAGGTTGGTATTATTAAAGTCTAGCTCTAGCTAGCAACCTCTCCACCAAAGCCACCTCAGCAACCCACGGAAAGCTCACCCTCTTTTCCATGGAGGGACACTCTAACTGTATCACTCATTTGGTACATGATGATGTATGTCTTTGCATTTCCTCTTGTGTCGCTTCCTTTTAATTACTTTTCTTCTTAGCTTCTTATCCTGTAGATCTTGCTTCCTTACCGGATTGTGGTATTGAGACCACTTTAATACTTGTTAACATTTCATATATAACCCAACCCAATGCATTTTACTCTAACTTTTCCGCCCAGTAAATTTCTCTGAATAAATGACATATTAAGCTCAACTCTAGTTTGCAAAATGTGATGTAGATAGAAATAAATAATTAAGTATAATTTAAAGCAGAACAAATTGTGTATTTAAAGGAAATGTGAGTTCTAAAATAAGTGTTTTGTACACACACACACACACACACACACACACACACCCCTGGAATCCAGACAGCAGGAAAAAAACAAGATGGATGATTATCAATCAGCCTTTACATTATTCTGAAGATGGTGGCTAACGGTTCCTATTTTCCTCAAAGTCAAAGGATACTTTTAGTTTTGATAATAGACAATAAATTCTGAAAATAATTTTATACAATACAGGGTGAACAAAAAATATTGTCAAACTCAACTTGTAAAAATTTAAAATTGAGATGTTAAATTGAGAGTTCAACCTGGTCAGATGTTTGTATATGATCAATCCGTGGTCACTGTATGTTCAATATCACCCTCTATTAAATGGAAACTGAGCATGCCACTAGAAGGAGGCATATACTCTTAGTGGTGGCTGGCCATCATTCGACTTTATCTAGCCCTAACTTTATTTTGTAGACACTAAGTTCTTTGCTCTCAGTGTTAATATGCCACATTCAGTTGGGAGGAAATATTAGTAATTGGTCACTAGAGCTAGGAGCACCTACATTAATTTTACCTGACTCTTCATGAAAGAGGAGAGGACAGAATGAAAGAAAGAGGTAAGTAGCCTACAGTGGACTAATATGAGAGCTGCAAAATACTATATTCCTAAGAATATTATTGTAAAGGTCCTCTCTTTTGGAGCAGCTTTTAACCTGTGTGGTAGCCTCTTTCAATTCAACTAAATTCACTTCTTCAATGGGAGAAGTATCAAACATATTAAGAAAAATACATTTTTAAAGTTTTAACTGAAATAATGACAATCATAACAAAACACTGGTTAACTTGTTCCAAAAGTAGCATATAGTTAAGCAGAAATTGTGAAAAAGAGTAAAACTAGTTAGCAGTTTTACTTAAATGTCCAGAATTCTCAGTTATCTTTGAGTTATACTTTAAGGATGTTAGAACATGTATTTACTGAAGAACTGAACTTCTAATATTTTCAGTCGAAAGCTGCTTAACTATATCTTTGAGACTCAAGAAAATAGAAGTGGTAGAAGACTCTTCAGCGACTTTCAAAATGGAAGAATCTGAATTAAGTTTCCATTCTAAGACACCCTTTTCATTTCAATCTCCCTCCTTCCAAGTCTCCAGATTCCTTGCTATAGATTGAAGACAAAAGGGAAGTAAGTATGTGAACATCTATTTTACTTACTTCTCAACCCAGTGATATCTCTCTCTATTTATTTTTTTCTTTCTTTTTGGAAACAGGGTTTTGCTCTGTTGCCCAGGCTGGAGTGCAGTGGTGCAATCTCACTGCAGCCTCCACTTCCTGGCTGCAAGCAATCCTCCAAGCACAGCCTCTCGAGTAGCTGGGACTACAGGCATGTGCCACTTGTCTGGCTAATTTTATTTTTTGTAGAGATGAGGTCTCACTATGCTGCCCAGGCTGGTCTCAAACTACTGGGTTTAAGCGATCCTCCCACCTCAGCCTCCCAAAATGTTGGGATTACAGGCGTGAGCCACCATGCCTAGCCGGTAATCTCTTTTTTAGTGAAAAAAATTGAGGTTTAGAAAGTTTAAGTAACTTGACCAAGGTCGTACAGCTAATGAGTAGGAGGGCGAGCTGGAGCTAGAATCCAAATCACAGTTCTGGTCTTAAAACCTCCTTATTTCCATTAATAATTTTTTCAATATGTTTTGAGACTTTATAAGGGGCAGGCATTTTGCTGTGTTTAATGCTATAATTAGGTCCAATTATTATCCATTTTTTCCTTAAAAAAAAAGGTATAAAGTAGTTAAGTTACTTTCCAAGGTCTGAGAATCAGTGGCACAGTCTAGATATTTACCCAGCCTGTCCAAGCCCATGCTCTCCGTCAACTCAACTTAGAGATGAGAAACTGAGTCAATGAGATGTACAATCACATATTCAATAAGTCAGATTCCTGTAAACCTTCAAACCCATTTTTCCTGTATCAATCTCCCATATGTATAGTTATTCACAATTCAACACAAAAAGGGCCTTGCCAGGGCAGGACTAACCAAATCCTAGGTGAATTAACATGGTGTCTCCACATCAAATATTCTGTCATGGTTGCATTGGTTTGCTTACCCACTAATCTCCTTTAAAAATAATAATGAGCAACCATTTTATTTATTTATTTATTGAGATGGAGTCTTGCTTTGTCGCCCAGGCTGGAGTGCAATGGCGCAATCTCGGCTCACTGCAACCTCCACCTCCCGGGTTCAAGTGATTCTCTTGCCTCATCTCTCATACAGGTGGGATTACAGGTGCGTGCCACCATGCTCGGCTAATTTTTGTAGTTTTAGTAGAGATGGGGTTTCACCATGTTGGCCAGGTTTGTCTCTAACTCCTGACCTCAGGTGATCCTCCCACCTCGGCCTCCCAAAGTGCTGGGATTACAGGCGTGAGCCACCGCACCCAACAAGCAACTATTTTTAAAAGGTAAATATAGGCAGAATTCCTTATACTAATTTTTAACCCTCGAATTGACATTCAAGTACAAAATCTTAGTTTCCTGTCATTTTAACTGAAAGGTAAAAACAAAAAACTAATGCCCTTTAAAAAGAAACCTTACTTTATAGAGTACAAGATCTTATTTTCCAATAATCTTAAGCATATCTTAAACCTTGCTAACAAATAATATACATAGAATATAGTATACTCAAACCATAGCCAAAGAATGGTTAAAAGAAAATTTCAATAAACCATTATTGGAAGTCCTAGTTAATTTTTTATGTTACTGAGTAACATAAATAAGAGTATAAAATGAGATAATATCACTATTTTCAGCAAAGTCTATTTCTAATTTAGAAGCTCATATCTAGATTTGCTTCTCCACTTAGGAAGAAAAATGATCAAAGCATTTACAAAATGTTTTTTTTTGTTTGTTTGTTTTTTAAGCTAAAGACATGACACTAATGGGCCTCAAGTACTTCAAGAACGCTGTAAAGATAGGAGTAAATTCACATTTCTAACTTAAAAATCTCACTTCTTAATGCTTCTCCCAAATTCCATACAATTCACCTACAGAACTTCTTGATATTTCCACAGTGAACCATGTTTACTTTCTGGATTCGTTCCTCTCCTTTGCCTTGTACTTAAACATCATGACCTGGTCCAACTCCCAGCTCCTCCCTAAGGCTCTCCATCTCTTCGAGGGAGGGCTGGTAACTCTTTGTCTATAATCCCACAGCATTCTCATTTTACACTGAAATCATTTATTTGGAGTCAGATTCCTCCAAATGAGGGAAAGAAAACATATCATGTACCTTTCTATGCACTTAGTATAATGTCTGATATAGGGCAATCAATGGTCCAGGGGCAGTATGTGCTACTGAGAAAAAGCAAACAAACAAAAAACAAAACAAATCAGACTTTGAAATCGGCCAAATATACTTTCCAAGCCACTTGTATGACGTATAACTTTGATCAAGTATTTAACCTCATCTAATTTTAACCTTGCATCTCTAATGTGAGCACTATAATATCTTCCCTGCAATATTGTTGGAAGGAGCAAATTTAAAAAAATGCATGTACATAGCTTGGCGTGGTAAGTGGTATGCAGTAGGTGCTTAGGTGATAGATAATTATCAGAATGAATAATGTATAGCAAGAAGAAATTGGGCTAATCTTTACGAAAAATATATCTAAGAGAGCGTTATGAGACATGAACATTCCAAGCAAGGCTGTAGACTTCTGTTTTCCCAAGAGCTTTAAGAAGGAAGCAAGCAACTCTATTTCTGGAATGCCTTGTATTACTGAACATGCTTCTTTTAAGAAATCTCTTCTAGATTTTGGATTTTATAACACTCAACTTTACTAATTCTGCAAGTGACTTCACAATGGCCTCAATTCTTTAGGTATTATTATTTTCTTCATGAAAAAGAAGTTAGAATAATAGTGCTTGTTCTTTTTGTACCAGAATATCATTAAAACTTAAAGGTTTCTTTAAAGAAAAATTAAGGGTTCCTTCAGATTTCTTGCAGTTGGATAAAAATAGTTAATGGAATTATTCCTTATAGATCAAAACTATAAGCAGATAAACCTATAGCTATTATAAAAATCTTACTTTTCTTCTTTTCAATAACACATAGTATATTATACTATCACTTCTACAAATTTGGCTGGTGACAAAGCTTTAAACTATTAACCAAATTTTCAGTATTAGTAATTCCCATTAGAAATGCCATAATGTTTTGGTTTAATGAATGATTTAAGGTTACACACTGTTCCTCCAGAAAGATTTCCAACATCTCCCAAGGCATGTTTATGATAAAAAGTGTCTCACTTGGCCGGTAAGCAAACAAAAAATATTATATTTCAAACTAATTATAAGGCCTATGATAGGAAATCACATAAAGAAAATCTCATAAAGAAGAAAATCACATAGAGACACATCACACACTTTGTATAAAAGACAAGTAATATATAGTACTAATTTGTAAGCTGGACAGTTCATATAAACATATTCAATTAGAAAATTCACCAGTAAACTTTGCCTTGTAGAAAAATATTTTATTTCCCAAGGACATCTACGGACACTTAGGGTTAGGAAACTGGTTTCTCTTATTGATCCTCTTTGTTAACTACTATCTCTAGTGAAAGAAATAATAAAAATAGAAACCAGCTATTATTTCTCCATGGTAAGAAATATTAATATTATATTTCTTTGTTTTGTTTTTTTTCACATATAGAAATTCCAAATACACCTAAGTTAACATAATCCTCTCGTATGTGTCAATAGTTCTAATATTATTAATGATAATATTCTCCTTTCTCACTTTGTTAACTCAGGTATGATCATTTTACTAATAATGGTAGAAATCTTTAGTTGCATATTGTAATTTTTGAACCACCCTGTACTTACCTTGTGTTGATTCAAAGCTGCTTTAATATACACGCACTTTAGCTTTTGCTCATTACTTTAAATATTCCTAACAAATGTCCCAGTTTCACCCTGAAGGATTTAGAAAAGAAAACGTGGTACTTGCAGACAGTACATTCCATGTGATGTGATCAAAAAAATTAAGCTGAAAATTAGAAAAGTAATCCCAATAAAACTTAAAACAGCTCATGGTAAGATGATACCCTTAAGATAATTCTAGATGCCTTCCATCAAACAGTACATTGACTGAACTGGCTCAGTCCTTAAAGGGTCAAAATTTATTATCATTTCAGTTCATCTAATAAGTAATGTTTTTGCCGAACAAAACCAATTCCCAATAAATTCTCACTGTATTTGTGTGCTATGATTTGATTTAGAGGCCTATGGGGAGACACCATTTGGTAGCACAGGAACACAGAGGGGTAGTTGGTGCTGAGGAGAAGTAGGGCTCATGTGCCAGAAGTGTTATTGTGTCAGGTTGATTTATTGAGTGAGCTTCACTTCACCGAATGTTCCGAGATATTTATTTCCCTAAAGGCTCTGCAAGGATATGAACAGACCCGCATCCACAGATGTCATCATTGCTCATTTTACCGAGTCATGAAATTTTCTCAACTGCAATTTGTCCATCCAAAATTGCTGTAACAGAACAATGTCAATAGCAGCATCCTACTCCAGCACCTCCTTCTATATAAGGATCTGTTGCCAAATTCAGTACTTCTGTGCAACTTCATGGTAATTAAAGTGACAGAACAGTTTCACTGTAATTTCAAAAGAGTTTTCCAGAGAAGTTGCTCCGATTTTTAAACTCCACTTTAAGTCCCCAGATGAAATGTAACCGTTTAAGGGGAACCAAGTAGAAATATATAAACACAGAACAACTTAGCCTGGTCAAAATTAAAATAAAAATAGGTATAGAAAAGTAAATTAAGAAAGAAAGCAGGCTGTGTGTCTCCAAATCCAGGGTTTCAAAAATGTCACCTCTCCAAACACCATAAGCAGACTTAAATGACTAAATTTAGTATCTTACTCTTGGGATATGCTTTTATCTGTTTGACTTTTCCCCTTTCCGGCATCAAGCAAATGAACTATGAAAGATGATTTTAAAGAGAACTTGTTACATACATATATATATATATATATATATATATATATATATATATATCCATTACCTATAATTTTTTTTCAAAAACTCTTATGCAAACATATGAAGAAGTACTTAAGGTGCATTCATACACCCAAACAATATGACTTGAGTATTTTCCATAATTTCGTCTAAAACCATCTTCAGATCCTAATAGAATTTCAATGTCTGTGTTAAATAAAAACTGCATGCTTGTGTCGTATGTCAGAATTTTGGAGTTTATTTAAATATGTTAATATTTCTCATTATGCCATTAACAATAACCTTCATCCATTTGTGAAAAACATTTTGCCAAGCATGCACATAAAAAATTAGCAAGTGAAGCAAAATCACCTTAATTTGCTTTGGACCAGCAAATAACCAACTAATTTGCAGAAATCCCTGCCAAGCACTCATATTAAATGCTTCATGCTTATTTTATGACCTCTGCTGCTCTTCTCCTTCCCAGGCCCTGAATCATATGATCATTAACATATTGCAAGGTCTGAAACTTTATTTTTTACATTCTTTAATTAATGCCTGTTTATAGAAGGCCATAGGACTTCAGATCCAGTTAATGAAACTTCGCTCCCCCAGGCCTCTGGAGCCCAATAGAGAGCTCTCTCCTCTGTTGTTTTAGTAGCTTTTTTCCAACTGTTTGTTTATACACACTTAATTGATCTCTTTAGTCCCAGAAGCATTCCAGAGACACAACCTGTTTTGAGGAAGCTAAAGTTTCCCCCCTTCCTTTATAAAAGCCTTGAATGCCCAAGGTTATCAGTTTTAATTTGAAAGTTGAAGATTCAGCTTTATTTACACTGTCTAAAAGTAAAAACTGATACAGGCCCAGAAGTGTTTATTTGTACATTCATATACAGTAAAGGAGATCACAAGTGCATACAGGATATAATTATTTTGATGTAGAACTAAGTAATTACTAAATGCTGGTATGTCTTATTTTACGGCATTGAATAAATGCAGTCTTTATAACAAGTTGAAAATAAAAACAAATCTGGCTGCCAATGCATGAAATTTTCATGGCTCTTCAATTTACGTTTTACATATTCCCTATGACAAGAATTTCTATTATGCTATTCTCTTTTTTCTGCTATAATTAAATTAAAAAAGTAATTGGCTGGTGCTGTACACTGCAGCAATGTCTTAATCACATAGACAAACAGTTTTACAATAGCTTACACCATTTGCCACATGGGGCAATGACATTATTGTACCAGACTATAAAACCGAGACAGATAGCACATACCGGCTCTCAACCACTGTGTTGGCAAGAAAAGAACAGTAGGTTCATTCGGCACCCTGACTGGCATTTCTATGATGGAATTCCCAACTAAGTAGAAGTGGCCCAAATCTGGCCATGTGGTTTTGCAAATTGCCAAAATTTGAAGCTATGAATCTACAAATGCATGCTTATGGCATAGGTGCAGAATGTATTTTGGAAGAGCCAAAAGGAAAAAATATGGGTCTGAGTTACAAATGCAGTAGGCATTATGACTACTGGCAATGAGGAATCATTATATCTCCATTTTCGGATGGAAAAAATCTTGATTGTTCATGTGTCTTATATGTGTGTACACTATTTTATTAGTGATCAGTTTATGGATACTTTTTCTATTTATGTTTAGAATGAATACTGCACTAGGAGTTACGTGGGGTGGGGAGTGAACTCTTTGGTATTTCCAGAAATTTCTCTCTGACGAGATTCATGAGTCTGGGTCTTAATTTTGGCCTTTCCGCTGACACACAGGCTAGCCTCAAGTGAGTTGCTTGAACTCTCCAGGCCTCAGTTTCCTCATTTATAAAAAGCGAAAGTTGGACAAGACTATCTCTAAGGTTCCATTCGGCTCTCAAACACTGTGATTATATACAAATTTAATTCTTTCTAAGAACAACATCTGAGAAAGGAACTAAAATAAGGCACAGAAGCTTCCAATGGTTGCAAAGAAGCAAAGGGGAATAGAAAGCTGAGAAATCTAATAGCCGGAGCACTAAAAAGAATAAAATAAACACAATTTGACAAACACAAGGGAAAACACAAGAGTTTGGGAAGCAAGTATAGTTTTTAGATCAGCACTCTCTACCGCTCAGTGAAGCCCTGTTTATAAAACATGAAAAGCCAAAAATTTTAGATGAACTTCTTTCTAGATTTTTAAGTGTAGTGATAACATTTGCTCTTTTACAACAGACACTTTCTCTCCCGACTGCCTATAAAGAAAGTAGGTACAGCATATGAAGAATTATCAGGAGAGATTTTCCTAAAGTTCATAAAACTAAGATGTTCTCTACAACACCTACACTTGATTACTTAACCAGTATTTCAAATCCTCATTTAGCTGAGACCTCTGAAAAATATTAAGATGACTCATTATGATAAAATGTAAGCCTGTTTTCTAGGATGAAATTGCTTTATCCAAACATCTACATGGTATTTTAATAGGATTCAGCGGCTAATTTGAAGTCCTCAGATATCGCTCTTTGATCATTTTAATTATTATTAATAATTTAGAAAGTCCCTTTGAAAAAAAATCTCTGCAACAATAAAAAAAATACTCTGCCATATCCGAGGAGACATTGCACATTGCTAATATCCTGTGAACAAATTAGTCTTAAATGGAAGGAAATTATGGAATAAAACAATATAAACAAATAGCAACTATGTATTTTAAAGTAAATAAAATATTTCAGAAGCCTTTACAGTGTGCATTATACACATGTAACTTACAGACAAGCACACAGCAGTGTTTCTAGACTTTGGAGAATCCACTCTTTTCCCTTGAAGTCCTCCATCCCTAAATTCCTAAGGCTGAACTCTTTGCCTTATGTGAAGCAAATTCAGTCCTTCCTGGAAAGGTGCTCAATAGCTGAAAGTCTTCAATCTTCACATAAATAGGGTGCAAATCAAATCTTATGATGGTATATTCAAGCTCTCAGGATCTCTGTTTGCCACCAGAAATGTCAGAGTTTAGTACCTACTAAGCCATAGATTTATGAGGAAATGCTTGTAGATTGACAAGCAATTTTGCAACAAATGCATCTTCAGCATTAGATTCACAGGAATGTTTAGGACATGCCTAAATGATTTAGTATTTTATACCTCTGCTCAAAAGAACAGTTCATGTAAGTCAGTTCTATCTGAAGACTGTCAATCAAGCAGAAACTAAAAGTAATTTTAGAACATCATGATTCATTTACAAAAAAGTTTATCTCTAGAATTCAGGAGTTCGCGGTTCCAAGTGATACACTGATGGGCAAAGTTTGAAACGCATTAATTGAAACAAGGCAAATTGCTTTCTTATTTAGATATGAAATACAGAGCATTTCTGGTTACTTTTATTTATGAGCTGCTAATATTTGAACATATGCAAAGTCTGAATTGTTTCCCATTTGCCCCAGACTTTAAAACATAATTCCTTTTCTTAACGTGCCACCCTTCAGGGTAAGGAGTTGTAATGAACACCTTCCAGTCACACAGAATTACAATGTTCTTTATCTTGCCCAGTACTGAAAAAAGAAAAAAAAAAAAAAACTTCCAAAGGTTTGGAATCCTGAAACCTGTAAACAAAATCTGTGGAGCAGATAAAATTTTAAATGGCACAATGCAATTAAAGCTGAATTCAATTTGAGCGCACCCTGTCCATCTGTCAGAGAGAAACAAAAGCCGAGGAGCTCCATTATTGCTGAATCCCTGCTCTTGTTAATTTGCTTGCTGAGAGATTTCAATTTCTAGGAAGTGCACAAATTAGTGTTCAGTCAGGGCTAGATCCTCAGTAAGTATAAGCAGATGGTGGAAATCAGCCCTAATCAAGTGGCCAGAGCCTTTTTTTTTCCTGTCTGATTAAAGCATTTTAATCCTTTCAGATTGTCTGCTTTTTTAGCAAATATTCACCATCCTTTATTTTTCTTATATTCCAGGATCGATTTAAATTTAGCCTAGAAACATGAGAGAAAAAATAACTTTGAGAAATAGGGCTATCAGCATCTGAGTCACAAGCAGTGGCTAACTGGGTTTGTGAATCCATTTAATACTTTTTTCTATTATTTGTTAAATAATTGTTTGAATCATTATTAATTTATATGCTAATATAAATAAAGCATATTTAATCTGTTCTGGTGGAATTAAATTACTGAAAGAAAGACAAAGAATTAGAAAAATTTCAGCTTGAAGATGAAAGCTAACAGAAACAGAGAGCAACCAGAAAATGTGGCAAGTATGTGTAAATCTTCCATCCAGGGAAAACAAAATAAAACAAAAATTTTATTCTTTATATTAATATAAACTGAAGAATATAAACAATTTTAGTAAGAGGATATGTTTAAATCAAAACAAAGAAGGTCTAATAACTAAAAGAGTTGCAGGCTTTTGTGAATAATGAAAACAAAATTAATTTGCAATAAAAAATATACCATTGTTTTCAGAGTATGAGACAAACACACTCAAAATGCAAAACGACTGTAGTGATTATAGATATGCTAAAAGTTTGGTTGTATTAAAAGCTCACACATACACATCTACAAACCAAGGAATATGTGAACCAAAAATTTAGAAACTGTTCAGAGAAGCAGTAATAATTGTGATTTAATTGTGTAGGTTTAAGCAAACAGTTGGCAAAAACAAAGTCCTTCTGCTTCCAACATTTACCCAGCGTTTATAGAAAATAAACTTTTCTCATTATATACAAAATGTTTGTCATAATAACTTGTGGGTAAAATTTCAAAGTGTATGAACATATTAAGGTTAATCTCTTAAGTCCTATTTTGAAATGTTCCTAAAACAAAGGCACATCAATAAAAAGTATTTATGGGAACAAGATACCAATTTAATATCTGAAAGCATTTTTGAACAAACTAAAACTTTGAGCCCAACATTTGCATGATTTCTGATATGCTGAAGATGTGTAAGATTCCTGGTAGTGCTTTAACATCCTGTTTAGCAATTTCATTACACAACTAGATTCTTAACAAACACCCTCTCTAACAGTATGATAACATTTTACAAGTAAACTGTTCATGTATATTTTTTGATGCGTTTAACTAGGATAGTTACTAAAGAATTGGAACTGTCACTTCTTTATTTGAACATTTTAAAACTTATATTTACAAATTTTAAACCGAAGTATATTCTTGTTTATATGCGACCAAGTTCAAGCATTTGCCCATGATTGTAAATTTGCAAATTTCTCAAGCTTAACAATTGTAACTACTACATATATGAATAAATATTCCTCACATAGACAACTTACCCTTATATTTTGAAGTCTCTACTTAAATTTTCTAACTTTCTCATTCGAAAGCAAATTATGAAGAAAAAAATCATGACCCTATTAGACATTTATTTCGTGGAAAAAGCTTTAAGTTTTCTCACAATTTATAAACATGGAATCAGGCTTAAATCAGCTCACAAAGAAATAGTAAGTTTGTATTTCCCTTCTATTCCTCCCATCTATTCACTATCAATGTAATCTAGCAATGAAAACGGGCTGATATCTCAGCACCTTCTCTTTCCTCTCTTTAAAATCAAGCCTTAAGGCATTGGATCTTGCTAGATTCTTAGACATCTTGTCATGTGTTTGTGCCTAGGACTGGGTATTTGAAAATAAACCACTATGAAATATAATTAGGTACTATGCTGAGAAGGCTACAGGTGTACAGGAGGAACAGATTGGCTTTTTATTTCCCCTTTAAAAATATATGCTACAAAGCTGGGTGTAGTGGCTCACATAGGTAATCCCAGCACTTCGAGAGGCCAAAGTGGGAGAATTGCTTGAGCCCAGGAGTTAGAGACCAACCTGGGCAACATAGCAAGACTCTAACTCTACAATAAATTTAAAACGTAGCTGGCCGTGGTGGCATGCACTTGTAGGTACTTGGGAGACTAAGGCAGGAGAATTGCTTGAGCCCAAGAAGTCAAGGTTGCAGTGAGCCATGTTCGTACTACTGGACTCCAGCCTCGGCAACAGGGTGAGACCTTGTCTCAGAGAAGAAATACATAATACATGCTACTATAGGAGACAGCAGCTATGGGAGAATGCACCCAAGACATTCCTCCCCATCATCTTCCTTCTCTTACCACTGCGACCAGTGTGATTCTGGCATCAAACCTCTCTCCTGGGCCACTTTATAACCTCCTATTTCACCTCCCTACATCTTTAGAGATTGATTCTCTTATGTCCACTAAATATTTAAGACTTCTTTGCTTACCGTATTTAGGCCCTAGCCAATATTCAAGGCTCTTCTTTCTTGACCCTCTAGCTAAATCTTATTACTCATTAGCTACATGATTGGACCTCTTCTTGCCAAAGCGCTGCATTTGCTCACAAAGTTCCCACCCTCTGGAATGCCATTAGCTCCACCTGTTAAGGTACTAGTCAAAGTTTGTCTACATTTCTGTTTCCATAAACCTTTCTCTTCCATCATAAACTAGAATTGATCTTTCCCCACTTTTTGCTTCAATATGTTCTTTCAAGGGGTTTAGTCTATCTAAAATCTTTTTCAACATCCTGACTTGTATTATTAATTATTTACCTACATATTTATATCTTATCTTACCTACCGTATGAGAAGTATTTCACGTTTGTTTGCTTTGTCTTCTCTGGAACACAGAACACAGTATTGTACCCTTCATGTTATGGATCTTCACTGTGCAATACAGTAGCCAATAGCTACATGTGTCTATTTAAATTAAAATTAAGTAAATTTTAAAATTTAGCTCTTCAATTATACTTGCCACATTTCAAGTGCTCAATACTCACATGTCAGTAGCCACTGAACCAAATGGGGCGTAGAATATTTTTAATTTCAGAGAAAGTTTTATCATCAGATAGCTAGATTGTAAAGAGTCAATAACCTTACAAAGGTTTATACATTTGTATACAATTATCATCAAAGTACCAGGACATGACTAGAAAACAAGGAGGGAATCTTGATGGCTACTTTCTTGATGGTTTTGAGGACAACCACCAAAATCTATGAGACGCAAACACTCAACTACATTCTCTGGGAGGTTTCGGTTGCCTCAAAAGAGTCAACATTTTCTATTCCCATTATGTTTAAAAATGAACCCAGCTAAGCCAGGACAATTTTTTGATATTTCATATGTAATTCATAGTGGTTAAGGAAATTTATATGGCAATTGTTTTGCAGAAGCTTTAATTCACACTTTCAATATTTAAAAAGCCTGCTGTCACGGCTGGTAGGAATAAAATTAAACCCACCAGCTGTGGTTTGTTTTTTGAGGAAAACACATAACATTTTATTTTTGCATTGTCTGTCATCCTTGTAAATGTCAGAAATATAGAACTGAAATGCACTGAATCCCCTGGTTTACCGTTAGAGTCTTCTGAAAATGCTTAGTATTTTAATTAGACAAATATTTTAGCAATAATTAGGAGGAGGTTTTATTTTAACAGTGATACAAAGCACAGCTTTTATATTTGCTTGGAGAAAGAAATGCGATAATAATATTCATTTGAATTCTTTTTTTTTGAGATGGAATCTAGCTCTGTTGCCCAGGCTGGAGTGCAGTGAGTGGCATGATCTCATCTCACTGCAACTTCTACCTCCCGGGTTCAAACGATTCTCCTGCCTCAGCCTCCCGAGTAGCTGGGATTACAGGCTTGTGCCACCATGCCCGGCTAACTTTGTATTTTTAGTACAGATGGGGTTTCTCCATGTTGGTCAGGCTAGTCTCGAACTCCCGACCTCAGGTGATCCGCCCACCTCAGTCTCCCAAAGTGCTGGGATTATAGGCGTCAGCCACTGTACCTGGCCAAATTCTTTATAATTTTTGTATTATTTTCTTTGTGGAATTTTTCATCAAAAGATAATTAAGGACAATTTCCTAAAGAGATATATTCTTCAAATCTTTCATTTATTAAAATCTGAGGCTATTTGAGGAAATGTCGTTCTAGATTATTTTAAATTTCCCAGGTGTTTAGCTATACAAATCAAGAGTGTTTTGCTGAGACTTAAGTAGTTTCCATGAGCCATTCGACAATCACAGCACAGAATTATACAGTTTCCTTTTGATATGTGGCATTAATGTTATACCCTGGGAAAATGGAACTTGTCACAAAATTAACTTAGAATGTGAGAGAACATAAGCTGACAATTTCTTTTTTTTCCATTATTTTTAACTAGAAAAAATTGTATTCTATTTTTAAATGTTTTTGCCTTATAGGCAGTCAGCCACTGATAAGTACCCTAAGCACAAAGACTTAAGTACAAAAATTCAGACATTAAGTACCTGTTACATATCAGTACTTGTTAATGTCATTCTAATCAAAATCAAATTATTTAAATCTAAGCAGTGTTACATATTATGAAGAATTTCCTGAACAGATTTCTCAAAGCTCATCATTATATCACAATACTATTAGTCTACTTTTGGCCTACCTATCGTGAAATATTTTTCACTAACTTATCATGGTATCACTCTACTTCTCTATGTAGTCTAAGATCTCCATGGAGAGTGTGATTTATTTAAATTAGATCCAAAGTGATGGAGTTCTTCCAAAATGTCATGACTTTTTCATTAACATACCACAATTAGTTAATTTCTTTCATCAACCGATTATGAATCTAAAAATTATAAAATAGAGATGAGTTTACATTACAATATAGGTAATATGGTGAGAACACCATCATAGGCTTCTTGCACACAAGGGAAGTAAATAGGGACAGTGCTTCAACTCCGGGGCATAGGTGGGTTCCAGGAATGAGAAGAAAAGCCCAAGAGAGGAACTTCTGGCACTTTGCAGTTTTGCCCAAGGCAGTTCCTGCTTTTGCAGAACAGAATGAACAAGTTAAATCAGCATCCTCATATCAGCACAAGTAATATTTGTGCTATATTAACAACTGTCTATTAAAATGGTAGTTTTATGTCCAAAAACAAATCCAACATGGCATGTTTATATCCAACACAAAAATATGCCAATAACATTATTTGCTAATATATTTATAGTTCAGTACTGTAGTTTCAGTGAGATTAAAATAAATAGTGGAAGCTTGTGTTTGCCAGTTCATTCGCACTTCCCTCGCCCCTGTCATTTTATAACGTTCTGTCAGTATTTATCACAGATTGCAAAAAAAAAAAAAAAAAAAAATCCTCAATATGTAAAAATAGCAGCTGTTATTTGCCATTAACAACTGGGCAACTTCATAAATCTTTCCAAACTCAGAGAGAAAACAGAGTGTGTGGTTTAAGATTGGTCCAAGTAAATTTTTATTTTGCTTTAATTCCAAAAAACAAATTAAGTTTTTATTTTAAGCTATTATGCCTTTGCTGAGACATATTTCTAGAAATAGGAATCTAATAATGTATCTTTGGTCACTACATCACATCGATGTTAATATCAACTTTTGGTAATTGATTTCCTGAAAATTGACAGATACAGTAAAAATATTTTAAAAAATTAATCCAAATGCCAATTTTTACTCCTATCCAAATACTTTAGCAATATCTCTCACTTCAAAATCCCAAATATTTCTTGGATTTACCAAATTTTCTATGTCCAATTGACACTGCCTGGGTAAATTTAGTCTAAAAAGTCCTCATTATTTGCAGCCTCTACGATTACAGTTGTCTCTTGATTACTTTTCCTGATGTTAATGTCAACCTTATCAAATAATGTAGTCGGAGTAATTTATTTAGTCTAGAATTACAACCTGAATTATACATCTCCCCTGCTTAATATCCTTACACATAAGATTCTTTGTGATCTGACCATTACTCTCTCCTTGACATCACCACCCAACCTGGACCAACGTCTTCACCATACCCACTTACACCAAGCAGATCTTAAATTGCTTTCTTTTATATTTCTGTGTCTTTGAAATGCTTTTCTTTCTGGCTTACACAGATATCCCCAGAATTTTTGGAATTAATTTAAATTCTATTTCATAGTTGTAATGCCTCTTTACTGTGCTTCTTCTCAAAGGTCTCCATGAGATTTTTTTGTGGTCATTATTCCACAAACCTGTTTCTGTGACCTCAACTTTCATTATTGACCAGGATTATCCATTTTATGGTCTCCCTTGATCAAATTAAACATCTGTCTGCAGAATTTCTACTACACTTTTGCTATGATCAAAGCTCTAAACAAATTTTCTAGTAGTTTGCAAAGAATTTTCATTATTTTTATAAACACATAACTAATAAAAAGAGAAATATAAGCATCTTTGGAGGCACTAATGTAATCTATTTCTGCATCCTTCATAGAAGTAATTTTAATAAAACATCATGAGATGTAAAATATCATGTTCCCTATTCTGTTCAAGGTCATTTGGTCATTGATTTCAAAGAAGTTGATGTTTTAAAGCAGTTTGACATCCTGCTTGTATGTCTTTAGAGAAGTTTAGTCAATACAGTAAGAAGAATCATTAGTTATTCAAGGTAAAACTTTCAAAAAATGCAAGTAAGACACTTTGACCTTCTCTGAATCAGGAAATGCTCTGTGCATCTTTATGTTCTTTTAAATATAATTTGTCTAAACTGTCTAAAGTAAATCAAAAACTATCACTCAACCCTCCTAGTAAAAAGGGTACATTTTAATTGCAGAACTTAAAACCTCACAATTAAAAGCTGTGCTGCTACTTAAAGCCAACACAAACACAGGAATGAAAGCTGATGCATACAAATTAGATTTCTTGACATATGTGTAATTCTGAAGGATTCTCTAAAGCATAGACCATTTATATGCTTTAAGCGTTTCAATAGGGGAGGAATAAAATGGATGATTGTTACATTTTTAATAAAGTTTTGTCATTTTGGTTCTTAGTAATAACTTCATGACTATCTAAATCTTTCATGTGAAAAGGTATTTATAACATACCTCAAACAAAAAACAAATATGTGAAAAGAAAATAAAGACAGGGTCTCGCTCTGTTGCCTGGGCTGGAGTGCAGTGGCATGATCACAGCTCACTTCAGCCTCAATTTCCTGGGCTCAGGTAAGCCTCCACAGTAGCTGGGATTACAGGCATTGCCACTCCACCTGACTAACTTTTTTGTTTTTTGCAGAGACAGAGTCTCATCATGTTGCCCAGGCTTGTCTCGAACACCTGGGCTCAAGTGATCCTCCCACTTCGGCCTCCCAAAGTACTGAGATTAAAGGCATGAGCCACCATGCCCAGCCTAGAATCTTTTAATAGTGTTTAAGATGTGCACTTTTGAAATTAAGTTGAAAATGGTGCCACAAATTAATAAGTAAAACTTAAGCAAAAACTCTACCCAACATATAAGGAATATTTTTTTAAATGAATGTAATTGCTGCTAAGCATATAGTAACATCAATTTCTTATTTTTTCCAAAGAAGATAGTGTTGCCTTTTATATGGAACATAGTCTTATTTGATAATAACTTCACAGCAAATGTATGTGCTCAAATGATATAATTCTTCAATACCAGAACTACTGGGCCTTATAAGTGTAGAGGTAGAAAGGATGCAATGGATGGAGTAATAATATAATCAAAAATTAACTAATATGAAGGTCTCAGTTCTAAAGGAAGCTAAACAGGTAAAGTTTTAAGCACCACACTTTTTGAGTGTTAATTCCCGAAAGTTCAGAGTCCTCAAGAAAAAGAGATTGAGACAGGTGTGGTGAATGTTAAATATTTTTCTGGTATTCTGGAAGGCCATAGTAGACAATGCTGTGTGTGTGTATGCTGTAGACAGAGAACTGAATCACTGTCCTGAAAGAAAACAACATACAAAAATGTAGAAAGAGAAAGCTGATTTTGAAGACCAATGTTACCAATTTCACAAATTTTCAGAGGTTAACACTAGTTAATATAATGACAACCACAACTTAGTGAGAGACTATTAAATACCAGGCGCTGTACTAGATAATTCAGTTTTTATCTAGTTCACAAAAACGTTATCACTTAGAAAGAATTAATCCATTTACAGCTGAGAGATAGGTTAAATAGCATGAATGAGGCCAAGAGTTGAATTCAGGTTTATCTAATGCCAAAGCAGTGTCCTTACTATCACACTACACTTTACAAAAAGAGTACGGGCAAAGAGATATTTTTGTCATATGGAACTACAATTTGTAAACTTTAACAGGAAGAATGTAACTTAGTGGAATAGTGAACACCTACAACAAATCACTAGATTAGTGGGAGATTTCATTTATTTTAACATGGATTATTTTATGAAAAACTTCATTCCCAAAGAATTCACTAATTAAAGTATAAGTAATAAAATAATTGCCAAGATATACAGTGAACTCAGGTGGCTGAATAGGAAAAGAAAATACTATGAATACTATGAATTTGTGTGTAGAAAAGTCTGTAGAAATGGTAAAGAAAAAATGGATTGATTGCTCTAATCTTTTAGCACAATGATATCTAAAAGCTCATATAGCTTCAACTTCATTATTTTTAACAAAATGCACTACGTTACAGTTACTTGTGGAGTACACAGTACCATAAATAATTTAAATTAAACTACACTTGTCAAAATAAATGAACAAGTAGATTTTATGATACAGTACATTTTATGATGCCCTTGATTCTTTAATTTGTGTGTTTTGCTTAGTTGCTAATTCCCAAAATACTGTAATCTGCAATGGCTCTTGTACTCATTAGTATAGATTACCAATATCCCAGCTCAACAGGAAAATCAGCATAGAGAGGCATTCTACTGAACCAGAACATTTTTTTTCAATAATATCCTGTGAATATTTTATAAATATTGGTTTGAAGACAATAAGAGAAATAGTTCACTTCCCTTCCATACTAATTCACCAGTTCTATCCCTAACTAAGATATCTGATTATATTTGGCAAGTAAAGGTTCTTATTAATTTATTAATTTTGTCCCAGTGAAATACATCAAAATTTAGATTATAGATTCCTTTGATATTCTTGAATTACATATACAAACATAAAATGTTTTCTTTAAGACTAGTGTTACTGCTCTCCAGGAAGATCTAAGCAAAATTATCACAGTGTGAAATATTAAAATAATTAAAAAGTAGTTATTTAAAAATATAAAATGTATGTTCCATATTACAGATTAAATATTTTTAAAATAGATTTTCATGAAATAAAATACTTTCTGAAATTAGTACAACTTCCAGATGTTAGATATGGCCCATGTGATTTTTCCATCACGATTTATGAACTAATAAAGAATAAAGCTCTCTGAGAGCTGCATCACCTCTACAAACCACTAGTTTGCTACTATTCTATCATTTAATGATTCAACCTCTGACATCTTGGAGAGTATTTAACTCAACACGAGGAAACTATGGAGAAACTCTTGGAATAAGTATTAAGTATACTTAGGCTTTGGGTTCCTCAAGCCAGGGATATCCCCCTCATTCTCTACCTTTGCTGTTTCACCTGCCATGTTGGTGCAGAGAGCAAGTAACATGAAGGTAACTGGAGCATCCTTTGGCAAAACATCTTGAACCTCAGTTCCTACTTCTGTAAAGTGGGGTTAATAATATCTACATGTGAGGATAATGTAAGTTAATATCTGTAAGAATATATTGGGAAACTGCTATACCAGCAGTTCATTTTTTAAACTGATTATTTTATTGCAAATTTATCTTATGTATTTATAAGTTAAAGTAGAATGAACTGAAAAACTTTCCTTCTACCTATTTTTATTCTCTAGTACTTTACTTTTTTTCTGTCATGTATTTGAAATCTTTTAAAAACTGACTTACAAATTAAAATGGTCTACAGCTGTTTAAAACTGTGCTCCCACTACTAATTTTAAGGATCACAGTTTATTTCCACATCTTTTATTTTTACTCTGGATTTATGATTTATTAATAGATTTTTCAATGGATTAAACTCAAAGAATATATGTTTAAATACAGAGCATAAAGCTCTAGTTTTGTTTGCATTTTAATAAAAAAAGTTTCCACTCTGAAGGATATAAATTGAACTGTCCATGATCCTTGGTGTCTACTTGTCTCCCTTACAGAATGTATCAGCACAGTACATTCTGATATGTTTTATTTTCATGTCTATTTGTTGTCTAACTAGAGGATAATTCTGCACATTAATTGTTGTTTCAGTTGTATTTAATCAACTTCTACTCTTAAAAGAATTATATTCTTATCTTGATGAATTCAGATTAGACACATTACCTTTATTCCAAAATTTTATGCTATAATCAGTATTTAGAGGACAGGTCAAAGGTGGTTAGAGGCATCAAAATGGCACCATCAGAAACACATCAAAATGGCACCATCAGAAACACATCAAAATGGCACCATCAGAAACACATCAAAATAGTACCAACAGGAAAATTAACAGTTCCCTAAAGTCTATTTCCAATTAACGCCAGCGTTTAATATGTATGTCCAATCAATGTGCACTGTACATGTTATTATATGTTACTCAAATATATGCTATTATTTAACTTGAGATTCCTCTTAATAAGAAGAGGCTAATGTTGTGTCCCACGGAAAAAAAGGAAAAAACCTCAAATGCACTTATCCTGACCCCCATGACCAAATTTATATTTCAAATATCTACATCTCCTAAACTGTGACTGGTATTTAAGTCACAATTCCATATAAGTTTAAGTGCTAAATAACAGCACAGTCAGGCAGCCTCAAATTGCTTGGGTCTGCCCCAAGCCCAGCTTTTTGCAAGATGTGAAAAGTCATCACTGCCCTTTCATACCATCACTGCCTAAGTCATTCTTCTTCCAATAGGTTTCATGCATGGCTTATACTAAAATCTTTTCTGATATGTCTAGCATCTTAAACATATTAACAATGGTCTAACAAATATAATGGACTTTATTCATTGAAAAATATTAACTGAGTACCTACTATGTTATTTTTCTTTCACAGAGAAGAAGAGATTAAATTGAACTTTAAAGTAACCCAAGTTTACTATTTTAGTAGTTAGAACTATTATTTATAGAGCTCTCACTAAGAGTCAGACATTTTACCCATAATCATAAAATTATTTAGTATCACAAAGTCTTGCAAGTTAGATACTATTCTATGTTTAGGATAAAGAAACCAGAGGGCCCTATGTGTTGAGTCACTTGCCCAAGTTCTTAGGATGTGATCGAGCTAGTGATCAATGCAGGTGAGTCAGACCCAAGAGTTCAGACTCAAGCTGCAGTTCCCATAACTCCTCTAACATCTAGACTTGCGTTATCAACTCCATCCACAGATGCCTACCTATATTTCCACTAATGAGGTTGCCTTTCTTCATTCTGAGGGAGGATGTATTCTCCTCCTCCAGCTCAAAGACAGTACAACTGGGAAAATAAAGCAATCATAGCACAGAATAGGTTTAAGAACAAACCTATAATATGATCTCATTTGACTAGTTCTCATGCAAGTCATCTAATAAATAGACTAGTGTTCACCTAGGCGAATATATACAAGACTCAAAAGCACAAGTTCTATGAGGCATGTCATATCAATATTTAAAGGGATTGCCATTTTTCAATAATAATGTAAAGTAACATGCAAAATCATAATTTTTAGAGTTAGAAAAAAAATAAGACATTAGTAGTGACCTCATTTTATGGATCAAGAGACCCAAAGCCTAAAGAGATGAAGATATCTATCCAATGTGAAATGCCAATTTGGGGGCAAAATGATGGCTTAAATGGTGACGTTAAGCCCTCAAGCCAAGGAGTGTCTCCACAGTGATGTTGTAGTCTCGGAATAATTATTTGAGGGCAAAGGATAAAATTAATGTAAGTAATCAAACAAATTGATTATGAGCCTGTCAACAAATGTAGTGACTGGCCTTATCTGTTGGCAGAAAGTAAGCTAGATTAACCAAATAAAAACGTAAAAACTTTCCATCAGCAGTTTCATTGTGCTTGTCTATAAAGTCTGGTTTGTCCAAATGGGCAGTTTTTAAGAATGACCTTTAGTGAATGAAACTTTCTGGTTGCTGCCACAATTTTGTACAAGTTTATAAATTATGCATGTTTCTTAGCTTAGCTACATAACCAACCCAACCTATAAGAATTAAATAAGTATAAATTGTTTACATCCATTTACTTAGAATACTTTGTGAAAATATACTTAATTCTTCCTTCACATAATTTACTAAAGTAATATGCTGCATGTATAGTTGTAACATCGGTATAAAGAGATAATATTTTAAAAAATCAAGTATCTTATAAAACATTTTTAAATGGGATTCTATTAATAACAGTGGTAAAAACCTGGCACCAAACAAGTTGCAGATAATTTAATACAACTAAAATTTTAAAGCATTAAAGGACTGAAATTAGATTGTAATGGACTCTTTGGATTAAATCAATGCAATTAAGAATATGATGAAGTATCCAGTTATCTGTTTTCTGAGCCTTTGAAAAGTGGAAATATTAATGGAACTGTACAAGAAATTACTGTTGACTAGATTAATTGCCATAGCAATTGTCGTCTTATAAATATGTTATTTGTGACAATTATGCATCAGGATAATGCATGTGTTGTCACATTACTTGAAGAAATCTTTAAATTCTGAAGAAAGATCATGAAGCTTTTTTTCATTTCCAGCATTATTGCAAACTTAGAACATTTTAGAGAAGGAGTTTGAAATTCTGTACTAACATAGCATATGATTTTAAAAGTTTGCCAGCACTTCAACTAACAAGTTGGGGGAAATTAAGCAGTAAAAATGCAACCTGAGGAAACCTCAACAGGAATGTAAACTAAACGGGTGGGGAGGTCTGTAGGTGTCAATCAAGAACAAAATGCAACCGTCAAGCTTGCTTTGCTAACAAACTGTCACATCAACAATATGGAGTTAATGACTACAAATTAACTGTATACCAGATGCTTGACACTTTGTTATGACACTTAGCAAGCTAGTTGACATTTGGGGATCAAAGCTTCTTTAATTACACTTTGTATAACATGTGCAACCTTTATGCTAATGTCCAAATATTCCTTGGAGCAAACAAAGCTGCCCAAGTAAAAACCACCACAGACTGTTTTCTAGGTGTGGGTTTGAAAGTATTCATGTTGTTCTTAAAAAAGGGGGTGGGCGGGGGGAGTAGCTGAGCGAGAGCCAGGCGTCAAGCACAGTGTTATTCATTATTACCATTGCCTAAAATAACACTGTTTCTTAACTTGGTGAAGCACTTTTTCTTACATATAGATGCAGACTGTGAAATAACACATTTTCAAACAAGGTGGTAATAGCATTTAAAGCCATTTATAAAAAGAAAGACAACTGGGCATTTCAGAATTTAAAATAATTGAAAAAGGTATTGAAGAGTAGAGTGATAAGGAATATATGAACTGTTTTTGGAACACTGATTTGAGTGATTTTTCAAGTCCTTTTTTAGGAAAACAGTTTAACAATTTCCCAAGTAATTAAAACTCAATAAATGATATAAGCAAAATTTCACGTGACAGGTATAATACTGAATGCTCAACATGCATAACCTTGAACTACAGACTATGTCAACATAAAAGAAGGTTAACATTTTTGTCAGGTCTTAAAATAAGCTCAGAGGCCGGGCGCGGTGGCTCACGCCTGTAATCCCAGCACTTTGGGAGGCCGAGGCGGGCGGATCACGAGGTCAGGAGATCGAGACCATCCTGGCTAACACGGTGAAACCCCGTCTCTACTAAAAATACAAAAAATTAGCCGGGCGTGGTAGCGGGCGCCTGTAGTCCCAGCTACTCGGGAGGCTGAGGCAGGAGAATGGCATGAACCCGGGAGGCGGAGCTTGCAGTGAGCCGAGATCGCGCCACTGCACTCCAGCCTGGGCGACAGAGCGAGACTCCGTCTCCAAAAAAAAATAAAATAAAATAAAATAAGCTCAGATTAACCAAAACTAAGATTGTCTTAAAATTAACAAAATTTTTAAAACAGCTAAACAATCAAAGAGGAAAATATAATACAATGTACTTGCAACAGAAACACAGTCAGGGGTTTCTTTGGAAATGGCACTATCTTGCTAAATGTGACAGATATAAGGAGAAGCTGTTAGATCAGGGGCATGTGACCCTTTATCCCATTTTTGCCTGGACTCTACTTCTTGGGGAAAGGCAAGATTGTAATATGTGAAGAAAAATAAAAGAGAAGATATACCATTTGACCCAGCAATCCCATTACTGGGAATATATATAAATCATCCTATTATAAAGACACATGCATGTGCGTGTTCAGTGCTGCACTAGTCACAATAGCAAATACATGGAATCAACCTAAATGTCCATCAATGATATACTAGATAAAGAAAATGTGGTATGTGGTATATACATATATGTGTGTATATATATACACGTATATATATACACACATATGTGTGTATATATATACACGTGTATATATACACACACATATGTGTGTATATATATACACGTGTATATATATACACACATATATATATACACATATATATATATACACACACCATAGAATACTATGCAGCCATAAAAAAGAACAGATCACGTCCTTTGCAGGAGCCTGGATGGAGATGGAGGCCATTGTCCTTAGCAAACTCACAAAGGAAAAGAAAACCAAATACCACATGTTCTCACTTATAAGTGGGAGCTAAATGATGAGAACACATGGACACATAGAGGGAAACAACACACTCAGGTCTTTTAGTGGGTGGAGGGTGGGAGGAGGTAGAGGATCAGGAAGAACAACTAATGGGTACTAGGCTTGATGACTGGGTGATGAAATAACCTGTACAACAAACCCCCATGACACAAGTTTACCTGTGTAGGAAACCTACGCTTGTACCCCTGAATTTAGAATAAAAGTTTTTTAAAAAGAGAAATGGAAGCATACGTCTACAAAAATTATGAATGAATAAAGTAAAACAAAATTATTAAAAATAAGACATATAAAGGAGAAAGGAAATATATAATGTTAGAACTGGAAATGACATTGAAGATCAAATAGTTCAACCTTATCACTCCACAGATTGGACAAACCATGGCACAGATCAGTGGAACTGTCCAAGTCATAGAGTTGTGGATGGCCCATATGCCAGCTCCCAGGACTGTAAGTTGTGTAGAGTGCTGTTACAAGTACAACACTCTGGTTCTCTTTGCCATCATTACAGCTCCACACACCAAGATGTCAAGATACAATGTGATCCTGCCAGTTGATGTATTAGTTATTGAATACTTATTGTTCTCTTAGAAAATGGCAAACCCTTCTCTAGGTGTTGGTAGTTCTAGGGACACACCAGGGAACTAGGCCTGCACTCAACAATGTCGCAACAGCTAGTCACATGTAGCTAGTGAGCACCTGAAATGTGACTTCTTGAAATGTC
Source organism: Homo sapiens (assembly GCF_000001405.40). Classification (NCBI taxonomy): domain Eukaryota; kingdom Metazoa; phylum Chordata; class Mammalia; order Primates; family Hominidae; genus Homo; species Homo sapiens. The sequence continues at coordinate 71,817,585 of NC_000013.11, forward strand.
TGGGTGGCACATGCTATCAGTGTAAATGACACATTGAACTTCAAAGATTTCCTATGGAAAAGAAAGTAAAACATCTCATTGAATATTTGTTTATATTGACTACATCTTAAGATAATAATATTTTTAAGGTATTAAGGAAATAAAATATATGATTAAAATTAATCTCACCTGTTTCTTTTAACATTCTTAGTGTGGCTACTAAATATTTTCTTTCTTTCTTTCTTTCTTCCTTTTTTTTTTTTTTTTTTGAGACAGGGTCTCGCTCTGTCACCCAGGCTGGAGTGCACTGGCATGATCTCGGCTCACTGCAACCTCTGCCTCCCAGGTTCAAGTGATTCTCCTCCCTCAGCCTACCAAGTAGCTGGGATTACAGCCACCCGCCATGATGCCCCACTAATTTTGTATTTTTGTAGAGATGGGGTTTCACCATGCTGGCCAGACTGGTCTCAAACTCCTGACCTCAAGTGATCCACCTGCCTCGGCCTCCCAAAGTGCTGGGATTACAGGTGTGAGCCACCGCACCCAGCCATTTTCAAAGTACATTTATGTCTCACACAATATTTCTATTGAACAGTGCTAGAACAGACCAGTGGAGTCCTGCCTTCAAGGAACTAGAATGTTTGGCAATAAGAAACAAGAAAATAAAAGAAATATATGCTATAATTAGGGAAAACAGGGTGGCCTGATAGAAAGTATGCTGGGTGCAAGTGTGCTTTCACTAGGTTGTCTGTGAAGGTCACTCTGAAGAGGTAAGAGGAGATTTGCATAATGAAAAAACAGACAAATGAGCTCAGTGAATGCAACACCAGAGAATAGGTTATTACGGATGCAGCTTGATGGTAGGTGAATTTGGAGAAGACAGTAAAGGACAGGCCATGCAAGCCCTGAAAGTCCCAATAAAGACTTTGGATTTACTTTGGTTGTTGTGAGAAGTCACTGTAGGTTGTTAATTATCATCTCCGGGGCTGTGACCCTTGTCCAAATCACCATCATAACTTGCCTCTTCAAGGAAGCCACTTCCTATTTGGTCATCTTGTCTCTACTCTTGCACTGCCCAGTCCATCCTCCAGGTTAGGCATGGATCGTAGCTAATATTCACCACTAAATTTCTAAACATATTTTTATCTTCCAGTTAGCAAACAAACAAAAAGGTAAAGTAAATACAGGCATTAGTTGAAAGTGGATTCTCCTTTGGAGTGTGGACAATAAAGAAGCTTAGTTTTGACTTGGATGCTATTCTGTGTCTATCAATATATAGCAAGTTCCCAAAGCACATTTTCAGTTTAGATTCTCATTCTAGTTTCCTAAATACATCTTTGCTAATCATGAAACTCCCAGGAAGGGACCTGAATCCATCAAGGTCTCTATAGAGAACACAAGCCCCTCAGATGTTATTAACTGGAGAGAGTTAGATGATGTAGGGAGTATTCGCTAAAGTATCAGCAGAATTGAAGTAAACCAATAAAAGAGAAGGTGGCATCCTGGGGCTGCCAGGTGTGGGAGGCCTAAAAGGGAGAGGAGATCAACCAGTTGCTGCAATTGGAACATGGAGCTGAAGCTATAGGAAAGTCTCCCTGCAAGAACTGTGTATTTTGGAAGAGGGATGAAGCCACTGCTCATTAAGGCAGCAGGAAGGAAGGAAGAGAATTAAATGTCCTGACCTCACTCTCCCCTACTTCTCTCCTCCTGATATCCAGCTGGCACTTTGCATAGAATGAACACATCCAGAAGCTACAGGGTAAGGTAGGCCAAGAAGGCAGTCCATAAAAATCTGGCTCCCAGAGAGCAAAGCCGAGGGGCAAAGACGCAGTGTGGATCTGGAAGGGCATATGGAAAATATCCAGCATGGAACTTAATAGAGTGTCATTGGAGCCTCTCTCCTTTCATTTTATGTGGTCCTGGTCTGGGATTGACAGTCTGTAGCTGGAAGTCTATTTCATGGTCATGGTATCACATGGTATTTTTCTAGTGGGTGTAAGAAAGGATTAGAGGTCATGACTTTGTCTCTACCAATGTTTCCTTCCACCAGCAATAATATAATAAGAATGTACACATTCCATTCTCCACTACTGACAGAAAAAGAGCAAATTGAAGGTGTAAAGGCTCTGTTTCATCATTCAAGGAACATTAATTTCTAACAAAGAAATTAATTCTTATTCTTAGCACTAAGTATCCACTAGTGAAAAAACAAAGTCCTTGTTCAAAAGAATTCATGCACAAATGAGGAAAAGGTAAAACTAAGAAACCAAGTAAGATAATTTCAGATATTGACAAGGACTCAAACAAAAATATAACACAATGTGACAAAGGGTACTCGGGGGAGAAGATGTGGATGACATTAGCTAGAATGGACCAGAAATGGCTCCATTTCATTTAACTGGCACCTAAAGAAAAGGACTGTATTGGGTGCAGTGGCTCACTCCTGTAATCCCACTACTCTGAGAGGCCGAAGTGGGAGAATCACTTGAGCCCAGGAGTTTGAGACCAGCTTCGGCAACATAGGGAGATCCTGCCTCTACCGAAAAAAAAAAAAAAAAAAAAAAAGAATAGGGGCCGAAATTAATCACAGAATGATATGAAGGGGCACAGTTTCTATGGAAGAAAGAGAAATACCAGACAGTCCAGTGCATCTACTGCACTGCCCGAGAGATTGGCTGGGTCTGCCAAGGGGTTTCAAGGAAGTCCAGCCCCTTATCTTAGTATCACCATACCATTATCCTAGTATCCAAACAAGGACAGGCATGGTCTTCTGCATCCAAAGACAGTAGCAGCACCCTTCTGCAACCAAGGAGATGTGATTGCTCATGAGATGACTTTTCCAATTTCCAAAGATGCCACAGAGTCTATCTAAAGCCTTGACCAGGGCTTTGTAGAGTATGGTAGGAAGTTTGAATCTATTCCAAGTGCTAAGGAATGCATTAGAGGTTTTGAAGTTTTAACTTTTAAGTTTCACATAATATTCTTTGGATGGCTTTGCTTTAGACTAATGCATTAAATCATGAGTTAAAAAAACAGAATTCGGTATATGTCAAATTAAAATATTAATATATATTTTTGGAAATGTAAGTCTAATAAAAATAATCACAAGAAGAAACAACATACAGTTATAAATCCACATTCATGTAGAAAGAGCATTAGAAATCTTTTGTAATAAACCACTTTCTTAGTATGACTTCCACGGAGAAAGGATAGGATTGTCATTCATCTTCTAAAAGCTGTTCTACAAAAGTGGAAGGAGAGGTATATTAGACTGGAACAACCAAAACAGAGAACAAAATGGGAAGGAGAAAGATATTTCGTAATTCTCTTCTTATGACCTCATCACACCCTCAATCATATCTCAAACAAAAACAAAAAACCCAAAGTACAACCTTACCTATCTAAATAGCAGAGCTCTAGACAAAAACAGAGGCCAATAAGACAGCTAGCTGTACTGCAAAGTGGTTGCAGCATGAGAAAGCCAGGACTAACCGGAAAAGTTCATAAGTGGACATGGTAGGAGGTATACTCTATAGACTCCTGATTGAAGTATCTGGAATGATAGCCGCATTCAACAGGGCTTGCCTACTTCTCCCATTTGTGAACATTGGTTTTAGTAGGTGAATCCTCTTACATGGTGCTTAGTTCCTTTTAACTGACTTAGTGTTAATATTCTTTTCTGCTTTACTAGGGTTGAAAAATGACTTACTCTATCCACTTCCACCCATGATCCAACTACTACACAGTTTTCCTCTCCTTTAGGTTTTCAAAGTCCCTCCTGTGTGCCTCAGTTCTCTCATCTGCAAATTGGGTGGAGTGCACGATCCTGAGGTCCCTTCTCAGCTTGATTATTCTAAGATTTTAAATTTAAATTTAAATTTAAATTCTAAGATTTTAAATTTAAATTTAAATTCTAAGATTTTAAATTTAAAATTTTCCCCTTAATGTAGGCAACATCTGTTTTCTTCAAAATATTCAGTTTTTAATTTCTACACCTATAAGTTAGGAATGCCTAATGCCTACATTAGTTATATATTTTCTTTATAGGTCTATGCATTTAGATGATGAGAGTACAGTTCTATTTTTTAAGTTAAAACAATATACAATTTTCATTTTTGCTCCTGTATGCCATCATCATAAAGCATTTAAGATATCCACAGTCTCTTTAATAATTCCCTACTGATAACTATTAAACGACTGCAGTATTATCTACTTCACATTCTTCCTTAAAACTGAAACCAGCAATCCCAGCACTTTGGGAAGCTGAGGCAGGCGGATCACAAGGTCAAAAGATCGAGACCATCCTGGACAACATGGTGAAACCCTGTCTCTACTAAAAATACAAAAATTATCTGGGCGTGGCGGTGTGTGCCTGTAGTCCCAGCTACTCGGGAGGCTGAGGCAGGAGAATTGCTTGAACCCGAAAGGCAGAGGTTGCAGTGAACCGAGATCGCACCTCTGCACTCCAGCCTGGCAACAGAGCGAGATTCCATCAAAAAAAAGAAAAGAAAAGACAAAGACACTGAAACCAGCAAAATTATATATAAATACATCCACATAAACCACACACACACATACAATTTCAATGAAATCTAGTTCTAAATGTGCTTATGAGTCTTTTAGTGTCATGTATTAAACTATCCCATTTTAAATAAGTTAATAATATAATTGAAAAGGAAATGTGATTTCCACTATATTTGTAGTGAACAGAGATACTCACAAAAGTTCAAAATAAGATCTTGCAAAATATTACATGGATTAACACCTGTGCCACCTTTAATATAGTAAAAGTAAAATGAAGTATGTCTTTATTTTCTTAGATTCCTTCCTAATACATTTCTTAAATTAAGCAAAAGTGCAAGATGAGCATTCCTTAGATGCACTTGCTGCTGGGCTCTCATCATTCTTGTGTATCTCGTGTATGTTATTATGTTGAACACACTGCATGTTTCCCAAAAGTTGCAATGAATGTGGAAAGGGAATTAACTAAAGCAAACTTTCCTCGATTAGCGTTAATTTTCCTAATACAAAAATTTCTAAAGACAGCTCTATTTTAGTTTTGGAAAGCATGTAAAAAGTGGCATATACTCAATCAAACCTGAATTTGAAATTAACCTGTCACTTTAGACACCATAGTTTAAGGGGAAGGTTAAAACGTAAGGGTTTTTCAAAATCTCCATGCTGGAGCAAGTGGCTAATAGTTCACTAGGACCTTATATGATACCAAAGGAAAGAGGGAGAGAACTAAAGAAACACAAAACAAGAAACAAAACATCTCTCGCTTTTATTATTAATAATTTAACAGTTCTCCACAATGAAAAAAATCATAATCTGAAAATAACGTATTATTAGTAAAGAATAAAGAAAAATGTATTTACATAGATTTGAACTTAGGGCTTCACAGCTATTAAAATTCAACAGAAAATGTACCTTTGAGGGACTATATCCTGTAAAATAACACAGCACCAACACAAAAGCGGTGGCATGCCCTGACTCATTATTTTCTATAAAGATGAGTATGATTAACTGTGTTCATAAATTAAAAAATAAAATATTCAAAAAATTATTTTTTCCTATTCCATAGTTATTCATAATAAACAAAAGCAACCCTTTCATTAAAATGCCCCCTTTTGCAAGCTGTAAAGATAAGACAGCAAAATTATTCAATCTTTTGTTTCCGTTAAAAATATCCAGCAATCAGAGTTATTCTATTATTAAGACAAAGGAAAGGGTCAATGTGTTCAGAGTGGAAATTAAAAGGATTTCATCTCTTAGCTAAACCTCCTGTTTCTAGATGCATGCACATAATGATACTAAAAAATGACAATGGAACTTTAGAGAGCTATCGAGCTATGAAATGAAAGGCCTCATAAAGACAAGTGATTAACTTATTTAAACTTTTTCACTGATGCACTGAGAAATACATTTCCTTTTATTTCTGGTATTACAATCCAAATCATCATATAATGAAGTACTTCTGGATGTTAAACCTGTATCTAAAATATGGAACAGGCGAGAAAGTCATTTAGCATATATCACAGATAGCCAAAGGTAGCATTAAACATAAGGCTAAAAGAAAGCAATTGTAGATAAAATTTATCTGTTTCTTGATTGTTTGAAAAGGCATTTCAAGCCAAGTTATCATAAAGTTGAAAAAAAACAAACCAAAATTATTTCAATGACAACCTCGTTATAAGATAAGCACTGTTAAATGATAAATGATCATATGAAAGTATTTCAAATCAGTAAACAAAAGAAGGCTATTTGTCTTGACGTTTTACTATCTGCAAAAATAATGCATAATTATTGAAATACACTTCCCCCACTCAAAATACAAGGCTAAGTATTTATCAGAAATTATATCAAACACTTGCCAAATTTTGTTATGTAAATTCTGTTAATTTACTGGATATCAAGGAGAAATAGCTTACTAATGTTTTTCTATATGGAATAGTTCACAATTCTTCAAACCTCTTGCCACATGCCATGTAATAAAAGAACTAATACAATTATATTATATTCAATTTAAAAAATAATATAGAATATGTGTTACCTACGTTGAGACTCTTCAACAGAGTTGTCACTTGCTGTCTACAATGAGCCAAGATTTAAACTCTACACATTAATCACTAAATTTGATCTACGTAATAACTATGAACATTTTATATTATTATTGGTATTATTATTATTTAAAAGATGAGTCAGGAGGGACTCAGTTATATTCAACATCAAATAAGTACTCAGAAAATGAAAAAAATAAAATAAGGCAACATATGTCCTTAAACAAGTTGACAGACTGAAATTAAGGAAGAGATGGAGAGGAACTTTCCCTAATACTCTGAAAAAATGCCCCATTAATTGCTGAATGTCACATAAACATGATAAGTAAGAAAAAGAAACATTCTTGCCAGAGTAATATGCATGAGTAATAATCACCCAGCACATGGCAGGGACTCAATGAGTATGTTCAGAATGAATGAAAAATAAATGAATGAATGAGTGAGAGAGGGAAGGGATGATATTTAATTTTTCCTAGGTCTGCAACTAGAGTTTTTCTTTTGGCTAAAGCTACAATTCTCCACATCATTTCTTCTGCTTTGGAAAATAACTCTTTCTCGTCCCCAGGGTATTATTTCAATTACTACTTCATCAAAAGAGTTATTCTCACTCCTTACTACTCTCAGGGAGTAGTTTACACAATGGAGGAATTTGTCCTAAAATATTTCTGTTTTTTCCTCTCATAAAGTCAATAAAGTGGAAGCTCTGTCCAAACACAATCATTGACTTGAGCAATTTAAAGCTGAGGATATTACTATTTATACATTTCATAAACATGGGAATTTTAATACTGTTGCTTAAAATTTATTTTCATAATTGGAAAAAAACATGCCATTAAATTCAAAGAATGACCCAAATAATGAAGTCTTAAGGAGGCCCCCACAGGAGAAAGAAATGGGAAAATCATCACTGATTGACTTGGAAGGTAAGAGAGCTATTAATTTATTAATTTTCACACATACCAAAATTGATGGATTAAAGGTTTAAACATATTTCAAACGAAATAACAAAAAAGATGCTCTTAAATGTCTTATGTGCTTCATATTTAGTTTTCTCTTTCATTTACTAATTTAGTCCTCATATTTTACTTAAGAATTTTATAAAAAATAAACTGCACAGGTGATAATTTTGCATTATTTAACTCACTCCTTTATCCAAGCTATTTAATATACTTCCTTTTCACAGATTTATTGATAAATAATTCACCTATCATACATTCACTAATTTACAGTATGCAATTCAATGATGTTAGTATATTTACAGGGCTATATATTACCAAGTTCAATTTTATAATATGTTTGTTCCCCTTAAAAGAAACCACATACTTATTAAGTGTCACTTTCCACCCCAATCCCTAGACCTAGGCAATCATTACTTTAGGTGTGAGTAATTTTGCCTATTCTGGTCAATTTCTACAAATGGAATCATGTAGCTGTGGTCTTTTGTGGCTGGCTTCTTTCACTTAGCGCAATGTTTTCAAGGTTCACCCATGTTGTACCATGTATCAGCACTTTATTTCTTATTAATACCGAGTAATACACATTGGATAGATACGCCACATTTTATTTATCTATTCATCAGCTGATGGACATTTGGCTTGTTATTTTGTTTGGGCTATTATGAATAATGGTGCTATGAACACTTGTGTACCAGGTTTTAGGTAGACATATATTTATTCAATATGTTTCTGATTGACACCTAAAAAAGTCTAAAAATAAAGACAACTTGTATTTATATTTCAAGAACATTATTAGAATCTATAATATTTTGCTTCTGGGAAGGAGCCAATACATGGAATATATTCCTGAAGCCCCTAGTCTAACATCTGGCAACCATGCAAACAGCTGTATCCATGCACATGTAAAGCTAAAGAGATGGAAAGAATTCACACCCTGAGTCCACTGCCTTTGGCATATCAATCCTGATTCCAAATTTTGCATCTTAAAAACTGGAAATTAAAAATGTGTATTCAAATATCCATTTGACTGCTTCCCATTAAAAGTTACATTTTACAGCAACAAAATTGTGTTGCATATAGTATATACATATCAAAATAAAACATATTTGCCAACTTTATCATTTCTTTTCCTAATCCTGATTCTGTATGACATATTGCTATTTTGATAAGCACTGAATTTTAGGTTTCTTTTTAATGATTCTAAATTAAATCAGTTCAACAATAAACAAATAAAAGAAACTTCCTTTGATCTAAGTCTTTCCTACTTTTCAAGAATTTTCTCCCAGTACTCTACCTCAAAATGGTTGCAGTTTTCCAGGCTACACAAAACCATTTCTTATGAGCAAGGCTGTGATCATGATTTCTCACGTGGCCAGCTGGTACCTTCTCCCTTTGGTCCTCCTCTAGATGGCATTCCTAGGAACATCTATAACCTGTCTCTTCTCCCATTCCCCTACTTGTCCATGCCATCCCACTGAGGTTTGTTTTGCCACCACTACCTCTGCTGCCATAAGGGCATGTAGTTGTGTATACATAAAGATACAAGTAAAATAAAATATGATTAATTATATATAATGATGCCTATTATATATGTATATGCATACCTACACATATAAAAGGGCATTTAATATATTTTATTTCACTTACATCTTTATATATGTATATTCCGAAGTAGATCCTTGAGGACTCAGAAATTGCCACTTTCTTAACCATTTTCTCTTCAGCAACCAGAAGAGTGCCTGACCAAGAAAGTACTCACAAACTGTTGACTGCTCAACTGGGGTTAATTGCGTGAATCTTCATTTACTATTAGCTGGAATAGGGAAGCATCAGTAATCCTGAACCAAAGTCTTCCGAAAGCTTTACAATTACGTATGTACAGGATTTTCCTAAGACATTCAAATTCCACTAGGATGAGGATTAAGAACATCCAGGAGAGTGGGAGTATTATTATTATCTTGATAGTGGATTCTAACATTCTAGACTCACTTTGATAATCTAAATGTGAAATGATTTTTGATGGAAAATAAAGAAATAGAGTAGAAGAGAAAAAGCTGGACTTTGCTGCCTTAGAGTCCAAACTCCAGCATGCAAATCCATTTTTATGCCTCTAAACACAGCTTACTAGTTCCACCTTACCAATATCTAAGAAGGCAATATTACAATCATTGTTTCCAGGGATGCAGGCGGGGCTGAATCGCCAACCTACTGACTTACAACTCCGTGAACTAGATCACCTCCTGTTATATAACGTATTGGCTGCAGAAACTTAAAACTAATTATTACAACATGGCCTTCATTAATTTGAAGAATATAGCCTTCAATGCCAAGATGGCAAAAAACAAAATAAACGTGCAACCTAATTGGTAAGGCATCTTTGGGTTGCACAGTAAGTTCCAAACTTGAGAAAACATTCATTCAACCAGCAAATGATTCCATAATAGCAGAAGCGCCAGCAGACCCAGAGAATGAGCTGAGAACAAGGGAGTGAGGACTACATCAAAAGATTGTCAACGTACTACAGAAGAATAAGGTCATTGATAGAACGCTCCTTATTAAGTTTATAAAAACATTGGATTCACCTTCAATGTGACAGTGCCCTTTAAACATTTACAATTTAATTTATGTCACTAATAATAAAACTTCAGACTGTGCATGCCAGTTGAAGAAGTGAGAAAAGAATAGGAGAAAAAGTCATAAATATATAGCTGATTAGGATTTCCTATATTCACAATTTTAAGGCAAAGATTAAATAGCAAATCCTTCATTAAGGCAAGCGCCTGGGCTCCTTTTTTGAAAACCAGCGACTGAATTTCAGAGCAACTGCATTGTGTAGTGGACAATAACAAAGAATAGTGCTATTAATCACATAAAATCATTTCCTATTTACCTGAGGTTATCTGTAAATTTATAATTCTTCTGATAGCTTTTGATTAACTAAGTAAAGAAGAGGTCCTGCACCAGAGCTATGTAAATTCAGGTGCTGTGTCAATATCTGCAACACAAATTGATTGCCTTTAATGCTACTAAACAGAAGCCACCTTTCCGCTCCTCTGTGAACAAGATTTATATATAAATTAGCTTGAAATATACTGAAAATGAAATCACATAGGGACATTTATTTTTTGCACTGTTTTCTGTGCTAAACTCTTCTGAGGAAGACTTGAACTCTGAGGATCAGGAAACCACAATCTTTCAAAAGTGTTAAGCTGCGTTACAGGGTAACGGAAAGGCTCGGGACAGAGTGATAAGATCTGTGTCTGCTTCTCTCTCCACAGCTTACTGTTCCTGACCTTAAGTGAGTTCTTTAACCTCTGTGAAACCTACATTTCTTCATTGGTGAATTAAGCCAGTTACACCCGTGCCATCGACATCCAAATATAAAGTAGGGTAATAAAAAATAATGTTCTTAAACATCTTTTTCAACTTTTATATTTTCTAAACTATAAACCACGGTTTGTAGCACAAAAGCATGTATTCAACCATGAAACATTAGCGTAAGCATAATGTGCCATCTCTAAAGCAAATCATTTTAATAAGACAGACTATTTAAAATGTTCTTTGTTTTTCACAGACTTTAGGGTAGGCTCAAGGCAAAGTTAAGAAAAACCCTGAGTTTGTCTTCATTACATGGTGCCTCTGTGGTTTGATCTTTCCTTTTAGCCTGCTGGTTCCCATCTTTGAGTAACCCACTCTTCCTCACTTCCATCCTGGCTTCTCTGGTCTCTAAGGCCCCCAGTCTTTCAGGTTCATTTCTGGTGTTCCTTATCCAGACATCACTACGGCTGTTGCCTTATGCTTATACTGTTGCCATGCTTGTACTCACTAAACCCCCTTTCTACTTTCTTCCTCCTCACTCCCCTCCCACAAAAATTCACTTAAATCCTGTTATCTGAAGACCAGTAGTTTTCTTTTCAATACTGAGTAAAGTTGTCTAATCTGACATTCAGTTCACATTTATGTACTAACGTAAGAAAGTTAAAAGCATTAACCTCTTCAAAAACTTAAATATTTTAGTTTAAATTGTACCTTTTAAATAAAATTTCTTTAGACTGGGGAAGTTTTAATAGTTTGTGGTTCTATTTTATATACATGCTTTGACCAAGTATAATCTCCATCTACAAATCACATAAGATAAATATGTATTGAAGTCATCATCGGGCTTGGTTTTGTGTGTGTGTTTAAATGTAAGACAAAACATATGGTAGTTTCTAGATGCAAATAAATAAAATCCTGATCTTAGGAAATTATTTTTGAAAAATAGAATAGAATGACTTTGGACTTAATTTTCAAACACAATTAATTTGACTTTAGAATAAGTTTGTCTAATTTGGATAAATTTCATCTAAAACAAGAAAGTCACTGCAACTAAGTACGTACTGGGAATAAAAATTCAACTGTATAAATTTATACAAAATTAAATTTGCTTTATATACTTATTTCCTCCTCAAACCTAGGCTTTGACTTCTTTAAATTCTAAACAAGTAATTTTAGGCTGCTCATCCATTATCTCCAAGCATTCTCTTCCTGCAAAGGATCCACCATGGTAATAGTTCTTTCATCAAAGCCTAATGGTTTGTTTCAAATAATCAAAGTAGTGTTTATATCACTGTCCTCAGGTGCAACCATTTTGCTTCCCGGAGAGCAGTATGGTACATGCTAATGTCAGAAGTGATAAATCAAAGTAAGTACATTTGTTTGTCTACCTTAACCAGTCTATTCAGCACCACTAACAAAAATACATGTTGGCATTTGCACTTATGTACTTTCTATTTGAGACCATCTAGTAATAAAGATTACCAAGAAAAAAATGCATATGTAAAACAGATGGTTGTGCACAAGTCTTAGCCTTAGGAGAAATTCCAGTGTTAGATGGTGGTTGCTGTGAATTAATTTGTATGCTTTACCTAGGGAGAGTGTAAAAATAGAGGAGTAGTTCCACTATAAATGATCAATGATATGTTTTCTACTTATAGGAAATCAGAATAGCTTACTTTCTTAAAATCACCAAATATTTTAAGTAGATATATTCATTTATCTTTTACTAACATAAGTAGTAAAAAAGTTAAGAATACGAAACACACCTACAACACTAACAGATTCAGAAAATATCTGAGAGGTTGCAATCAAATTTATCTTATTTATATAGGCAAAATTCTTATGATAGCCAATAGGAAACAGAATCAAGTTAGCGTAAATTAGAATAAGAAATTGAGTACTATTGTTCTGGTCATTTGCAGCTTGAAGTTGCAGTGACACCCAGAGCTTTTGTTCTTTCAGCCAACGGAAGTTGTAGAAGTCACAAATGTTTTCTATATTCAAAAAATAATAGAACTTGTCTGGATATTGATCATTTCCAGTTTCCAGTTCCTGTCGTAGTGCTTTTAGCAGCACTAGAGAAAGTCTAAGGCAAAGAGAAACAGTGAAATCTGTCTACTCACCTACTTAAGCATATATAAATGAGGAAGAGACAAAGAGAAATTGACAAGTGGAAAATAAACTGAGATGAATTAAAGACCCACTATGTTTAACCGACCAGTCTAATATCCTTCGAGAGCCAGAATTCCCTTTCACGTTCATCTCTGCTCAAGAAAGTAAATGAGAGCAAAACTACCAGGTTTGTGACTCCTGAAGGGAAAAGAAGACAAGACAAAAAGAGCTCTCAAAATCTATCTTATGCCTAATAAAAAAGGAAGAGCTGCCAATCCCATCTTATTTACTTTTGGATTTTAGAACCATAACATAAAGTATATTCTTAGCAATAACACCTCACCCTGTTTCTCTCTACTCTAAGTGATGGCTTCTTCACAATCAAATTCAGTCAATAGCCCAAGACTGATAGGACTTATCTTGAGATGTCAGCATGGTTCCAGAGGAACAAACTGACAAAGCAAAGGCAATATGTTAGGGAATAAAATCTAGTTAAATGGTAGGATGCCTGATTATGGTCCCAGAAATGTATATAGATCAAATAGTGTTGAAGAAGCTTAAGTACAAACGATAAAATGACTGAATAAAGTTAAAGCCTTTTCGCCACCACATGAAGTGCTTCTAGGGCAAATGAAGAGGCATGTGCTATTTTAAAATGTCATCACATTTAGAGTTTTCCTTCAAAATTGTGGCTACTATTTCCTCAGTAACTCTTAATCTAACTGGAGTAATTTTTTTATTCCTAAATATTTCGAATATGGAATTGTTAGTTTTTCTCATGTTAAAATGCCCCATTTAAAATATTTAGTAACCACATGGTTTAAGTTAAATAGTATTATATAAAAATAAACATAGAAACTAATAAATACAAGTTAAAAAAAAATAGTAAGGTCCGAGAAACTGAAAATCTGCTAGTGATGTTTTGATCTCATACACATTTTTATATAAATGCATGTTGTCTTTCATTAAATCATTCCCCTCTAAAATGAGTCCTAACATAACTTGTGATATATAGGGTGGGCTTTTTTCTGTACTACTATATACCCACCAGAGAGTTAATCTTCTGATTCTATGAAAGACCCCCTTCAAATGAACAGCTTAATAATCTATCACAAAATCATGATTAATTTTCTACCACCATGCTACATACTGGGATTGCTCCCAAATGTTCAGTTTAATTTAAGTACTTTCTGATTCATGAACCGAGGGATAACATACAGCTATAAAAAGGTAATCCAATCCTAACATGGCCTTAACCCCTATAATCTGCACTTCAATAGCAGGGAAACTGTATAGTTTTGAAACTGTAATCAAGAATTTTTTTTGCAAACACACACTGGAGCTGTCCTTTGCTCCCATCTCTTATTAGATTACAATAAAACGACCATGCTCTCTTTATGGTGGGAACAGAGCGACCCTGGGGTGATTTATAATCTTGTGAAACCCTGTCCACACTGCTGACCAGACTTTTTTTTGAGGTCACTATCTGTTTCTTCAACTGATGTCTTCCTGCTGTGACAACACTGTTGGAGAGCTGTCAGCACACAAGAATTTCTCAGGCTAGGTATTGTCTTTGAACGCATTTCTTGTGTTATTTCTATTGAGAAGCATTTGCGTGCTTGGTGTTTAGACAGTAAAGGATCTTTCTAAGATTTTCTCGTTAGTCTAAATCCTGACAAAGAGAAGACAACTAAATGGGAATAAATGAAGTGGATCTCTTATTGACAAAGGAAGAGAATATTTATTTCTTCAAAATGTATAACATTGCCATGGAATACAAACAATAAAGCAACAATTCATGGTAAAAATGAGAGTATTGTTCTCCCCAATAGCAAAATAATTTGACTCCAACATGTTAGATATTGTCAAAAGTAAGTATTAGCTAAAATGCATGGGGCCTGCATAAACATAAAAAAATAAGTGTTTCGATTTTTGTTTTTAATGTAAAAAGCAGAAAAAGTTAAACTAAGAAAATGTTTTAATAGTAAATTTTCATAAAATAAGTTGCAATCTCCATTCTTGTCAAAAAATGGCTGTAGATGACTAAAACTGATGTTGAATATTCCCAAATAGAAAATTATACTTAAAAATCAAGTAGATCATAGCTAGAGTTAGAACTACCTAAATTTTTTTTGTTATTATAGAAGAGGAACTTGTTCAAATGATAGACCTTGATCAATTTAGCTTCTCAAAATAAGACATCTTCTACTACTGGAAATGTAAAAATGTAAGAGAAGGCATGATATCCAGCCACCTAGGTTCAATTAAAGCAGTTTGTTTCATTTTGTTTATTCTCATTTCAATTGTATTTAAGTTAAATGACCAAGCCAACATTAAATTGCTTTGTTTTTATATATAGATAACTCCTACTATTCTAAAAAGAGGAGTAATTAATTTATCTCTATTTTTCCTCTTTTTTGAGAGAAGACAATTAAGTAAAACAATCTGAATTCCACTCCCTACTTTTTTATTTTTATTTTTATTTTTAATGAAATCCATATAGCTTCAGAAAGACGCTAACAGGGAAGTTGCGCTCCCTTCAGAATCTTCTGAGATCTATGTGAATAGAACGTTTTGAAAGCTACAAGAAGAGAAAACATTTTGTAAGAGAGAGCCAACATTGATGTAAAAGAATCCTAGTGCATCAGATTCATCTGTAGCACCTGGGCTAGGAGTATTAGGGATGCTCAGTGAGAAATACCTGCCCCAGGACCCACTGAGGGATGGGTTCTATGGTCCAGTGGATGTAGGTCACTTTCACCCAGATACAGAGCTAGGTTATTTAAAGAGGCTCATGAAAGTCTCATAGTTTCATCCTTTTTATTTTGTTTATCTTTGTTTATAAAGAGAATAAACAAATTTAAACTAAATTTTGTTTGAAAGCATCCGTTAACCTAATTTGTACACATTACTACTTGAAGTATAAGTGGAGAGAATGATGGAAAACAACGATGTTGATAGACTAAAACAGAGATTTATAAACATATTGTGTAGCATCATAATTTTTTTTACAGTATCCTAATTTCAGGTGGGAGTGATAATGTTGGAACTTAACTATTCCTGAACTTGTATGAATATCACAATTCAGAGCCCACACCAACTATGGGATTTGGTGACACAGCCTGGGTACTTTATAAGCTTTTTTGATTTATAAGAGTATTCATTCATCTAAACTTTTATAACTAAGAGCAGTGAGAGACGCCACTTAAAGACCTTCGACAGTGTCATGCAGTTTTGCCTAGGATGGCTTTGTGAAGCTAAAATAAAAAAGTGTCTTAAAATGTTTTAATAGTAATTGATACAATAAATTGTAATCCCTAGTTTTGTCAAAACTACAATTTATTAACTAGCATAAATAAGTAAAACGTAGATTAATTCTCTGAAATAGCACAAGATATTTAAAATTCAAGTACACCCTATCTAGGGTTGGAACTAACTGATCCTCATCTTTTTATTCATCAGTATAAGTAATTTTGAAATGATGATGAAAAAAATGTTTAACTTTACAAAAGTATGGACACACTGGTAGTCATAACAAATACGTCAAATGTTCCTTTGTTTCCAGGAGGTAACCTACCATTTACCTTCTCCAAGGACTCTTAATAAAATGGACAGAAAAAATCAATTAAAGTAGCGAAATATCCCTTAGGATAAAGTTACTTCAGCAGTCAGTGCACTTCTCAGTAATCTCTTTATCTTGTGCTGAAGTAATACACATTTGTGCCATGTTTTTAAGTACTATATTTTTCATAATGAAGCTATTTAAAACTGAGCAGTGGAAAGAGAATGGGTGCTGATACAGCAAACGTTATGATATAAAAACAGGGTTATGAGGGAAGCACACACCAGAAATGGAAAACGTGATTAGAAGCAAAATGGATGATGCAAAGGTTCTCATATAACACGCCCGTGAAGTAAGACCCCAAATATCTACCTAATCTCCACTATCTAGAGCTATTGTGCCCAAGAGCACCTCTGAAATACTATTATGGGACATTATTTCTGGAATCACTATCTATATAAAAGAAAGTAGTCCCATGAATGAAGTCAGAACTTGAAGAATTCAGCATAGAATTCCACACGCTTTTTAACGGCTCTGTTGCCTCGCCGCACCCCGCTGTAGCCTATGTTTGACCAATTCTCTCATTTTATAAAGGGTGGACCCACCTTAACATTTAAGTGGCATCTGATGCACTACTTAAATTGGTTTCGTTTTCCCATTTCAAAAATTGGGACTTTAATACGATATTGGGAATAATACCCATTTGAGATCAAAGAAATCATGTGCACATTTTTGCATTGGGAATCAGAGAAGATGCATAATTTTTGGAAGCTGAATAGATACCCACATATTTGTCGGCATTCTGAAAATCCCAGGCATTGCATTTTTACCTCTGCTTTTTCTACTTCTCCCTTTTCCCACATTTGTCTTTCTCTCAGTGTTTGTCCATGTGCAGGGAGAGAAATTTAGTGTTGAGGCTCAGCCCAGGAATTTGCCAAACAGATAAGAAGACAGAAAAGCAAGCTTGCCAAAATTTTTCCCATTTCTCCTCAACTCCCCACCAAAATTCATTGTTCTTCCTACATATTTGCTGGTGAAAACTTTGGAAATGTTGGCTCAGAGAGTCACAATAAGACCAAAATAGACCAAAGGGAGCTGTTTGAAATGGTAACCACCAGTCTGTTAGAAAAGAAACCGGCCTGTTCACTTAATGAATAAAATACCTAGAGCTTGCCAAGGCAAATAAAGGCTTGTTTACTGAGATGTATACAAATACAAGAAACAGAGCAAAAGGACTGGAAGAAGTAAACTAAAGAAAAAATATTGTATGGAGAAGTCTGAATTAAAATGAGCTTTCAATCAATTTTGCAATCACTGTCATTCATGAGAAACTCTGTAATGCTTATTAAAATGAAAATAAAACAACAAGGGTAAGAATCCTGTTCTCTTGGCCTGCCTCCAAGTAAGGTAATTTTGTCTTGTCTCCTAAAATTATCCCAGAGGTAAAAATTATCTCAGACTTTTTAAAAACTGCTCATCTCTAAGCTACTGGTGATTGATCCTTTATGTATTGGTGAAAAAAAGAGGCCCTATTGGTCCATGACTGTATATATCCCCATTTGCCCATGATAGTCCTAGTTTATACCTATTGTCCCAACAGAATTAGTAATATTGTTTCTGTTTATTCTCAAGAGTGTCCTAGTTCGGCTAATTAATTTTATGGTTACCTTATCTATGCCACTCTGAAGGAATGAAAGAAGTGATGAAAGTCAATCTTCTAGCAAACAACAACAAAAAAATCACTTTAAAGAAGTTTACATTAAAGTTTATACAGATTCATTTTCTAACATTCTCCTACAAATCTTCTACTATCTCATAAAATCGCAGAGATCTGGAAATTTTCTATTGTATTTAAGATATTTATACCTCTTAATACAAAACCAAGTGAATGGTAATCACTGCAGGCTATTTACCAACTTGAAAAAATAAAATAGTTCACTAATACTCCAATTAAAAGCAGAACGGTTGAACACAGTTTATCATAGGTACTCAGATTCAGGAACTGGTAATAGTCTTACCTTATCTTGCTCAATAATTGCCTAATAATAAATCTAGCCAAAGAATTCTGAATCACACATTTTATTCCTTTCACCATCTTGAGAAAAAAGGTACCATTATAGAGTATTCTAGATATTTCTCATTAGAGAGAAAGTCCCATTTGGTAGGCTATGAAGAATTCTACATTTTCCAAAAAAAAAGACTAAAATATTAAATAAAAATTAATAGTCAATGTTTATTGAGTGGTTATTATGTCTCTCACTGTGCTAAGTGCTTAATATGCATAATTTCATTTAATGTCACCCAAGATTATTCCACTTTTAGACGAGTAAGCTAAGACTCACAGACTTTAAAAAACGTGCCTACAATCCCCAAGCCAGCAAGTGGCAGAGAAAAGATCTTAAAACCTAGTTTTTATCTGCAGCATAGTTTGTTCTTGTCCCTTAGAATTGCAGGAAAAAAAATGTAATATTTTCCTACTTGTAGATAATGCAAAGCTTTATAGCATTAACTCTGATCCATACTTCCTATTTCCCTCCTCTACTAAGCTAGAAACCAAAGCGAGAGAAAATGCAAAGAAAAATAAGCTCTGTTAAAATGCCTTTGAGCTCTTCATATCGCCTTCAAATATTGACTCAAATGTCATTTTCTCAGTGAGGTAGGCCTCATTCTGACCACTTTATTTAAAATTTCACCTATCCCACTCTTCATACCCCAAGCTCTCTCACTCTGTCCTATTTTTAACGTAATTTGCTTATTGATTATGTTAATTCTTTATTGCCTCCCTCTCCACCCCTAACCATGAGTGCTAGAATTGAAGCCCTATGAGGGTAGGGATTTTTATCCAAAACACCTAGAAGAAATGCCTGTCATATATTAGGTGCATAACAAATATGCATTGAGTAGATAAAATGTAGTTTTCATCACTTTATACACACACACACACATACACACACACAATTCTGAGGCCTCTTAATTCTAGTAGTAACAGGAGAGAGTAACAATGTGAAAACGAAAGATTAAGGGGGAAATGAAAATGCATTATTCTCATTTTTTAAGGTAATATTTACCTTAAATAATAAGGCAAATTTAAGGTAATATTAAGTAAATATACTTCCTCATTTGGAATTTATTTTAAGCTAGATCTATGCATGGAGTAGTTTTACACGTATGATAATATATAAAAGCATTTATTTCCTTGAAAGCTTTTGGGTAGACCTACTATGAAATGACTGTTGGATTCACCAACTTCAATGGTAGATAAAAGTATCTTATATTTATACATATTCTGTAATAGTATTATTTATTCAATTGTAAAGTAGCATTTCTAAAATATGGGTTTTTTTTAACACTCTGCTGAAGTAGTGAGAGTGTAACAGACACCTGAGCTGGAAACTTGGGTAACTGTTACTCCTATTTATCACCGCTTCTCCACTGTAGGTAGAAGGTATAGATAGTCAACATTGGTAAACCCTGAAAATTAACACGGCTTATATTCCTTTTCAACCAGGTCAGAAATGACCTTATTAAAGCGAAGGAATGATGGCAGGCAAAACAGATAGGTGAGTATGAAAGGTCTAAGAATCCCATTACTGGGTATATACCCAAATGACTATAAATCATGCTGCTATAAAGACACACATGCACACGTATGTTTATTGCGGCATTATTCACAATAGCAACCCAAATGTCCAACAATGATAGACTGGATTAAGAAAATGTGGCACATATACACCATGGAATACTATGCAGCCATAAAAAATGATGAGTTCATGTCCTTTGTAGGGACATGGATGAAATTGGAAACCATCATTCTCAGTAAACTATCGCAAGAACAAAAAACCAAACACCGCATATTCTCACTCATAGGTGGGAATTGAACAATGAGATCACATGGACACAGGAAGGGGAATATCACACTCTGGGGACTGTGGTGGGGAGGGGGGAGGGGGGAGGGAAAAAAAAAAAAAAAGAAGTGCCAACCTACAAATGGCTTGGATAGCTTAAACTTCAAAACCATGTTGATACTGCATTTAATTATTAGTGAAGAGGTGTAAGAGAAATATAAACTCAAAAACTAAGAACAAAACTGGTAGACTCGATTCCTATTGCCCCCAGTGGGACAATTTTTGCTAATAGATGTTTTAAAGTTAATAGATGATTTAAAGTTTGCAGATGTGGAGTTCATTGTTTAATATATAGATGCTGCACAATAGTAACGAATTTCATAAATGGAGAAGTTTTAGCAAAAAGGAGTTCAGTGAGAACAACACATTATTCTCCAGTAGATGTAACTGTCATAGCTTTGTACATTGGTTTTGATTATAAGTGTGTTCTCTTATTTAACAAAAATATTTTGGCACATACAAACTCACCAATTTGGTGAAGAAAAGAATTTTTATTACATACAGACTCTAAGAGTTAAAAATACTACATAGAATTGTTAAGATAAAGATATAGTGAAACCAAATTCTGGTATCAATCCCTTGAAACAATCGTATCACCCAAAACAATGTGCATGATTGTTTATAAGCCATCTGGTGTGAGAGAGTTGAGTTAAAAAGCAATTTTGAAGCAATTTTAGTTTGTTAGTTGAGAATGACTTGCACCGGATCATGACCTCTCACTTTCTCAATGGTATCATGATTTTCATTTGTTGTTCCTAATTGTCTGTGTTTATTTTAAAGGCACTATCCTTTGCACTTGTCCTCCCATTAGCATTGGATTGAATCAGCCAGCACACTCTGCAAACTCAATCTGCGGCTGCATTCCGTGGAGCCTACCTTTGTGGTTTGCAGCAGCTTTTCTATTAAAAGGTCAGCTTACAGTTTAAGGTGAATTCTGTTAACAGAGCTTTCATTTTTATTCAGTGGTATTTTTCAAATTCCGGTACAGAATGTTCCCATCTTTTGACACTAGTTATTATCACAAGCTCAGAATCAAACACAATAAAGGTATTTCTTCGAGTCACAATCATGACTCAGCAGCACAGAAAGACTTGCTCTCTGCAGGTCTCTATGTTTGACTTCCATTTAACTATGAATAATTCATAATGGAAAAATAATATTTGACCTCTGAGAATTATTAAGAATGCTTTTTTTCTTTTAAAAGTTAATATGTGGTTTTCAAAGTTACTTGAATCCAGAAGACAGAGAGAAAAAATCAGTGCTTTTAATATCATAAAGAAATTATTAAAATGTCAGTTCATACAGTAACTTTGAAATCCATCTAAAAACCTCATTCATTATTTTACGGTTAAAACTCACGGTGGCTCACACCTGTAATCCCAGCACTTTGGGAGGCCAAGGCGGGTGGATAATGAGGTCAGGAGATCAAGATCATCCTGGCTAATACGGTGAAACCCCGTATCTACTAAAAATACAAAAAATTAGCCAGGTGTGGTGGCGGGCGCCTGTAGTCCCAGCTACTCGGGAGGTTGAGGCAGGAGAATGGTGTGAACTCAGGAGGTGGAGCTTGTAGTGAGCAGAGATCATGCCACTGCACTCCAGCCTGGGCAACAGAGTGAGACTCCGTCTCAAAATAAATAAATAAAAATAAAAATAAAATTAAAAAAGGAGTTCACACCAAAATCTAGGGCTTCTGCCCTAACTTTTCCCTTGAGTTCCAAATATATGTTTCTAACATCCCCTGGATAATTCACAAGCATCTAACTCAAAGTCTTCAAAATGGATTATTTATGTTCACTAAACCTTCTCCTCCTCATGATCTTAGACTTACAATACTGTTCAGCAAAAACTAGAGAGTTAATGTCAACTTACTTCTCTTTCCCCACACAGCTCTTTCAAGTCTTTCCATTTTAGTTTACTTTTTCTTTTATGTTTTCCTCCCTATATCCCCACTAAAGCCGTATTTATTTATTTATTTTTATTTTTTTGAGACAAAGTCTCACTCTGTCACCCAGACTGGAGTGCAGTAGCACGATCTTGGCTCACTGCAACCTCCACCTCCTCGGTTCAAGCAATTCTCATGCTTTGGCCTCCCAAGTAGCTGGAATTACAGGTGCGCACCACCACACCCAGCTAAGTTTTTCTATTTTTAGTAGAGATGGGGTTTCACTGTGTTGGCTAGGCTGGTCTCAAACTCCTGGCCTCAAGTGATCTGTCCACCTCAGCCTCCCAAAGTGCTGGGATTACAGGCATGAGCCACCACGCTGGGTCTACAGCCTTAATTATTTAAAACTGATTATTAAAATCTCTGGTTTAAAACGCCTTCAATTTGTGTTATCTATCCAAAACACAAATTCAATCATATCATTCCCCTAATTAAAAATCTTCCAATGGAAAAAAAATTTCCCAGTGATTTATTGTTATCTACAATATAAAGTTCAAATTCCTTAATTATATCACAGAGGGCCCTTCTTGAGCTGGCCGGTTCCTATATTTCAAGAGCAATCTCACAACCCCGATTAATAGATATATCCTAATCTCCAGCCAGGCCAATTTACAATCCATGAAAAATAACATTTTTTTTCACATTCTCATTCTAGGCCTTTGCATATTTATGTCTGCTTATTTTGCTTTCATTTCAGAAGCTTTAAATTCATTAATGTAGATGTATCCTTTGCCATTGCTACAAAGTTAAGATAAAGAATAACGAAAATTGCAAAATGAATAAGAGAAGTGATAAAATAAAAATAGAGCAAGGCAGTAAAGTATGTAAAAAGAACTTCTAATGACCACATCAATATCTGAGCAGATAAATTTGATTTCAATTTTTTTATATTCATGTCTTTAAGCTTAGATTTCCAAGATGGATGTGATGTATGGGCTTGGATGAAGAGTTTATCACTTTTCTTTCCGTCTTACAAACATTAAAGAACATGTACAAAGTTGAGATGGGAAACACAAAAAGTTCTTAGCCTCTATCTAGATTATGATGATACAGTTGTTTTACCAGCCCAAGGAGTATTTTACTGTATGTTTTAGAAGAAGCCTAAATAGGGTAACCTTCATGAAGAGGATATTCATTTTCCTGGCAGCTGTATATTTTCTGAAACCTAAAATATGTGGATGCCATGAAATCATAAGATTTCAACTCTAAAAAGTTTATAAATATTAAACCACTTTATTTGCTATCTTCTAAACCTGCCTTTCATCTGATGCAATATTTTCTTCCCAGGGTTTCTAACAGCATTAATATAAAATTTAATACGTATATGTGCTGTGAGGCAACTCAAAAGAGAACTTTAAAAAATAATTATGTCTTTTCTCTTTTTTTTTGCTTTTATTGTTATTTTTAATTGACATAATAATTGCACACAGGGAAGGGAGAGCGGGGAGGGAGGAGGTGGCAAGAGGTTGATTAATGGATACTACCTATTTTCTAATAAGGAATAAATTCCTTATTTAATTTTACCTCTAACAAAATCCCAAAGTTTAAGTTCTTTGTCAGAGCCTGGATATGACTATTTTTCTTGGTTCACTGAAAGAATGCTTGCATAGAAACACTTCTCACCATAAATAAACTGTGAAATGTAGGTGAAAATTAAATTTAGTTACAGCTGCCAGCCTTGAGTCTTTTCTTGATGGTGGTTGTCCCACTCAAACAAGCACAGCTGTTTGTGACACTAGAGATAAACAAATATTACTACCAAGGAGGACCAAACTGCCTAGAAATGGGGAAAAACAATCTGCACTTTCTAAGGTCACTGAAGAGCTGCTGCCAGTAAGTTGGTCATTATGACTTTTCTACTATAAGTCCTAATTCTTGACTCTTATTTCCTAGGTATGACCTGGAAAACTGGAAAAATGAAAATGACAAAAGGCATTTATTGAATTCCTACTAACTTCTACATAGTTTACAAATGCCATCTCATAATTCATAATTCATAATTTTCATAGTTCAACCTCCTTTCCCCAAATTTTCATCTTGCTGGTTAGGCATTAGGCTCCCTCACTGACAAATGAGAAAACTGAAGCTCAAATGGGTTATACAACTCATTTTAGGCTGCAAGTATAGTGTACTAAAGAGTGTAGAATTTGGAATCAGAAAGCCTCAGATAACTCATTTAGTACCTGTTTCCTTGGGCAATTTATTTAACTTCTCTGTAATTCAATATCTTCCTCTATAAAATGGAGATAAGACTGCTATGAGGATTAAGTGAGATAAGAAATGCATTCCAATTAGTGCTTGGCATAAGGTAAGTGAACAAAAAATAATACTGATAGCAGAATTGGAGAAAACGCTTTATAGTGCAAATTTTATGGTCGGGCGTGGTGGCTCACACCTGTAATCCCAGCACTGGGAAGCCAAAGTGGGTGGATTGCTTGAGCCCAGAAGTTCAAGACCAGCCTGGGCAAAATGGCAAAAACCCCATTTCTATTAAAAAAAAAAAAAAATTAGCAAGGCATGGTGGTGTACATCTGCAGTCCCAGCTACTCAGAAGGCTGAGGTGGGAGGATCACCTGAGCCCCAGAAGTTGAGACTGCAATGAACTGTGATCAGACCACTGCACTTCAGTCTGGGTGACAGAGTATGACCCAGTCTGATTAAAAAGGTTAAAAAGATATTTATAAAGGACTCTGATAGCAGAGTAATGTGACAAGTAGAGAAAAGAATGGCATGAATTCCAAGGAGAGTTGGAAATAAGATGGTAAAGGATTATGGGGAATTGCTGGTGGAGGTTAGAAGAAAAAAAAAAAGAAGATATTTAAATACTCACCTATTACTCAAAGTTAAATTTTAAAATACTAAAATATTTCCCCTTACAATTTACTCAGTAAGGTTAACAATAGGCTGAAAATGATTTCACAATCCAAGGATATCTATTCTTCTGACTTGTCAATTGGGTGTCTTGTTAGAGCACTGGCTAACAAGGTGAATGCTCAGATGAGGCATGATTTGTTTAAAGAGAATCTTCATTTTCAATAACATTTTATAATTTATGGAACAGACACACTTCTATCATTTAAATATTGAAACTACTGCACTATGAAAAATGTGTATGGCTTCTTTTTTGCTATCCTGCATTATCTGAATGTTATTTTTATTTTTTTAATTTTTAATTTTTATGGGTATGTAGTAGGTGTATACGTTACATGTTTTGATACAAGCATGCAATGTGTAAAAAGCACATTATGGAGAATGGGGTATCCATCCACTCAAGCATTTATCCTTTGAGTCACAAACTATCCTATTACACTTTTTAAGTTATTTTTAAATGTACTGAATGTTATTTATGTATTTATTCATTTGAGACAGGGTCTTACCCTGTCACCCAGGTTGGAGTGCAGTGTCACAATCATGGCTCACCACAACCTCAACCTCTGGGGTCAACCAATCCTCTCCCCTCAGCCTCTCTAGTAGCTGGGACCACAGGTACATGCCACCATGCCTGGCTAATTTTTTTGTATTTTATAGAAACACGGCTTCACCATGTTGCTCAGACTGGTCTTGAACTCCAGGGCTCAAACAGTCTGCCCAGCTCAACCTCTCAAAATGCTGGGATTACAGGTGTGAGCCACTGTGCCCAATCATGAATGTTATTTAAAGCATAGTACTGATGCTTCTAGGATTCTATTGGATTTTGAAAAATGATAGTACTCTATGTTCCAAATTTTCCACACTAGACTGAAGTTTACAATTCTTCAAGAAGCTTTTCTTGTTTATTAAACACATACAAGGGAGGCTGAAAGTTCCCTTCAAATATATTATATACCAAGCCCCAAGTGCAACACTCTTCGTTGTACATTGAACCAAAGGAAAGCACACCAACCATGCATTGTATCAGGGTCATTTAAGAGGATATGTTTATGGTGCAGGTTACAGGCAGCTTTGCCCATTGCTTAAACTAGGAACATTTATTCCTTATCAATATTTAAATGAGCATACTATTTGCAAAGCATTGCAAATTATTGCCCTAGGGAAGTCATAAATGCGAAGAATCAAACTGCATAGGAGAAAAAGGACAAAGCCAGCCCATTAAGACAGAAGTCTCTAGGGGAAATGAAAATGGCACTACTTCCTTCAGCATATCCTTATTTTCCCACAGAAGGGCCCCTCACCTGAATCTTAGCACTAAAAGTTACAAAAGAAAAAGTAAAGATTTGAGACTTCCAAGAGCATCCATTAATAGAATTTAGAACTGAGTGATTCTGGTATGCTTAAAATTATGGTTTTAAGGCTCAACTACAGAGGTTTCCATGAATTTACTTAGTTTCACAAAATACTGTTAGTTTGAAATGACATAAGGTCGTGCATAAATAGTACAGGTAATCCTGGACAGGCAAGCAAGGCAGGGGTTGGCAATGAATCCATGCATTTAGTCATCCACCAATAGGTTCAATCATGAGTAGAAGCAAAAAACATCAGAAACATCAGGATGCAGCCCACTTTTTCAACATACAGTTGATGTAATTCAACAAACCACCATTAAAAAGAGGGGAGGCATTGCTAAATATTTTATAGAAATACTATACCTCCTCTCCTAAATGTCTAAGAAATAATACTTTTTTTGTTTTTGATTTATGCAATATATCATTTATACATGATCTTTTGTGATTCAAGACTTTGACATGACATTGATGAGACACTAAACATTAACAGAAAAACTCACAAAATTTAGCTATACCACCGTTAACTCCTTACCTTAATAAGACTTCCATCACTTCCCCTATATAATAACTAACCTGGTGAAAAACTGTTACTACCCACACTTGATTAAAGAAAATGTGGAACAATATTCAGCCATAAAAAAGAATGAAATCCTCTCATTCAAGGCAACATGGATAGAACTGGAGTACATTATGTTAAATGTAGTTAAGACAGAAAAAGAAAGTTAAACACTACTTGTTCTCATTCATGTGGAAGCTTCAAAAAGTTGATGTCACAGAAGTAAAAAGTAGAACAGTGGATACTAAAGGCTGGGAAGGGCAGGAGAAAGGAGGGAAGAGGAAGAGATTTGTTAAACAACACAAAATTACAGCTAAATAAGAGGAGTCAATTCTAGTGTTCTATAGCACTGTAGGGTACCTATAGTTAATAATATGTGATATAGGTTCAAATAGCTAGAAGGAAGATTATTTAGTGTTCCCAACACCAAGAAATGATAAATGTTTGAGATGATGGATATGGTAATTACCCTGATCTGATCACATGTATCACAACATCATTATGTATCCCATAAATATGTGCAATTGTTATATGTCAATTTTCTAAAAATGTTATTATAAATAAAGTGAATGAACACAGATGGGCAAAGTTAAGAACTACCCCACTAAGGAATTTGCACATCATGAAAGTGTGCCAATATGAAAAACAAGTTATTCATATGGAATATGAGGATGCCAAATACCAAACTATAATACTTTTTTGCTGTGAAAAATAAATAATAATAATCTAAAGACATCAAAAAATGGCAAACTAACTGGATGGAAGAACTTATACAAGTGGGTCATTGACATGGGATGATGAAGCTGATTCTAGATTACAGCATGTAAAGGAAAAGTTCCTACTCCCAAACTTGCCATAGTTACATATCAGTTTAAAAACTGGAAAGAAACTTTATTACAAACTGCCTACAGTAGGCTTTACAAGCCATAATCAAAATAGCTTACTCTGACAGTATTAACGAGATGGAATTGTGAAATAAGTATGGAGAGTGAACTAGAATTTGTCAAGAAAGGACTGGAATTATAATAGACCATAATCCAGTATCCTTATGTATTACTTTCTCCCCACTGAGGACCACTATCTGAAGATATAAATTAGATTAATAAATTAACACTACAATTTTAAATTTTATCTTATAAGCAAATTATGACCTTATCGGTACTGCTTGTTGTGTGATAAGAGTCCCTATGATGATAACGAACTCGTTAACATTTTTCAGTCTTTTCCCGCCGTCTTGGAGCCTATGGGGCCTGCTGGGAACAGGACTTCTAAAAGAAAATACGTCTGGAAGGCTGTGGTCGAAGGCCATTTTTTTTTGCTAGTTATAAGCGGAGTGGGTCTCCAGAACCAAAGGGAGCTCATTCTTCTCAAAATTGACGGTGTTTATGCCCAAGAAGAAACTGAATTGTATTTGGGCAAGAGATGCGCTTATGTACACAAAGCGAGAACAGCACACTGACTCCTGGCGGCAAACCAAACAAATCCAGAGTTATCTGGGGAAGGTTCACTCCGGCGCACGGAAACAGCGGCATGGTTCATGCCAAATTCCGAAGCAATCTTCCTGCTAAGGCCACTGGACACAGAATCCATGTGATGCTGTACCTCTCAAAGATTTAGACTAACGAAAAGTAAATAAATAAAAGTTGATTTGTCAAATCGGCCGGGCGTGGTGGCTCACGCCTGTAATGCCAGCACTTTGGGAAGCTGAGGCGGGTGGATCACTTGAGGTTGGGAGTTCGGAGCGCAGCCTGGCCAACACGGTGAAACCCCGTCTCTACTAAAAATACAAAAATAAGCCCGTCGTGGTGACACACACCTACTCAGGAGGCTGAGGCCCGAGAATCACTTGAACCCCGGAGGCGGATCTTGCAGTGAGCCGAGATGGCGCCACCTCACTCGGCCTGAGCGACAAGGCCAGACTCTTCCATAGGTAGGTAGGTAGATAGATAGATAGTCTTTGGTTAAGTACTATTTGAATAGGACAATATAATAGGAAATAAAATTTTCAGAATGAGATTTCTTGGGTTCTATTACCTCTACTTGTCAGGTACTAGCTGTCAAACCTTAAGCAAGTAAACTAACTGCTCTGATCTTTAGTGCCCTCATCTTTGAAACTAATAGTTAGAACCTATTTCTGCTAGCTGTTACTGGGAGTGAAGGTGACCACGTACTTAAAATATTTAATATAATCCCTATCAAACACTAAACACTAAAAATAGTAGCATGTAATTATCAAACTGCTAATACATATACTCTTATTTTTGGTCTGACCACTCAATTTAAATGTTTAGATACTTCAAAAATTATGCATTTGGTGACCTTTCATAACTAATCTGATAGACAAACCTTAATTAATAATAATAAAGGTAAAGACAAAACCTCGGCCCTATAAAATCATATGAGTATATACATATATGAAGTCTATATGTTTATGCTTAAACTACCATTAGCATATGGGAAGCATCCAGGAATTAGACATCTTGTAATATACCTAAGAACTAGTGTTACATATATTTTCATTTGTTTGTTTTTATTTCTATATAAAAATCTAAAACATATGTATTTGCATTCCTATTTTAATTTATTGGTCATAATCAAAATGCCCCATAATTATGAATTTCATAAGAGCATTTGCAAGTAATTCAATAATATGCAAACAAAATTCTTATAAGTCTATTGCATTTATAATGGGTGCCTACTATGTGCTAGAAAGTATCTGAGGGTTTTAGCACAAATAGATACAAAACTATACACCACAATAATCCCAGGGAAGTAAATGTTAGTTACCAGAAACTGAATTCATTCAAGTTATAAAGTCTATTTATGACTTTGAAAAATCGCCGTATCATCTTCTATCAGCAAGTAGCTATATAGCTACATTTTAAAATGTTAACAGTGATGAAAAATATTTCACAATTTTTAATACACAAGTGAAAATGCCACAAAAGAATCCACCTGGATTTCTTCTCCTGTGGTGAATTTTGGATATGAGATGCTTTTGTAGCCAAATGCCATGGAGAAAATCAATTAGATCTGATTTTAACAACTTACTAAATTTCACAATATAATAAGGGAGAAACAAGGTGTATTAACATAAGGCACTGCAATCAATCTACTGACAAAGGAAGAACAATAGTATTCGGATATAGGTAATATTATATTGATGTGTTCACAAAATATTGGACAGGCACCAAGTTTTTGCTAAATGGTTGAATGCCTAGCTCAAATTTATTTTCAAAACGGGAGACTACAGAAAATAATCATTTAGGGGATCTTGAGATGCTTGGTCATATCTCTCAAAATCACTGTGCTGGGAGACGCTTGGTACAGAATAATTATAAATTTTGTATTTAGTTTAAGAAAATTCTGGAGACTTAGCCATCATAGAATGCTCTGGCCTACTTAAAAAGAAATCAGAGATTCAATAATACCCGCTTTAATTTTCTATAGAATCTCCTGTTTTCATAGAGTTGCATGACAGTTACCATAGATACTGAAGCCATTATCCCCCCCCAAAAAAATGGTATTTTTTTACATATGCTATGACTATGTTTGTCTTATCTTGCTTCTCAAAAATTTAACCATGTTAATCTGTCATTCAAATTTTCTTTGAAAGTTAGTGTTAATACAATTTTAATAAACGTTATATGTATATAAGGACTTTGTAATTTTTCAGAATTCACAACTTCCTTTAGATTGTTATAGTTTAATTGGTATTTCTTTAGAAAGAAGAGCAAATTGTGATAGCAAGAACAAAAATAGATTTTTCTTCGTGCTTTGTAAGCTCTTCTGGTAAGAGAGTTTTAAAAATTCAGTTGGGAATTCTAAACAGAAAACAACTTTTTCAGTTTTTTTTTTTGGAAACACAGTCTCACTCTGTCACCCAGACTGTAGTGCAGTGGCATTATCACAGCTCACTGCAGAGCCTCGACCTCCAAGGCTCAAGTAATCCTCCTGTCTCAGCCTCCCAAGTAGCCTGGCTAATTAAAAAAAATTTTTTTGTACAGATGGGGGGGTTCTCACTATGTTGCCCAGGATGGTCTGGAACCCCCATGCTCAAGTGATCCTCCCACCTTGGCCTCCCAAAATGCTGGGATTACAGGTGTGAGCTACCTCACCTGGCCCAGATGACAATTCTTGAAACACACCTTACAATTTCTGCAGTAGTTTCAAATAACTAATCGCATTCCTATCTTCACAACCTTCTGAAATAAGGAGAAAAGTTATCTCCATTATTCCCACTATCCGACATCACTCACCCAGGCAATTCACATACTTGGAACCTAAAATCAAATTTCCTGACTCTTCTTATGACCCTACGGTGTCTATACATTAGTTAATCTAAAATCTAGAGATATTGTGATAATAAAATACTTCCCTTGGATATTAATGACAATTTCTTTTGAAATAACATAATGATATTTTTGTGGGAAACATTTCCTAAAAATTACACTTGTTGCTAACGCTTTAAAAAACTGAGTTTTGTGTATGTATTCAGAATTAAATTTTCTTGCTACCTTAAGTAACAAGTGTGAACTGGAGGAGATGAAAATACTTCCATTGACAGTCACAACTAACTACTTTACACACCAGAGCCATGCCTCTGAGATGTGAAACATTCATTTCAACATTTGGCCACATGTAACTGTCTCAATACTGTGAACCCCTGCACAGTTTGCTATGGGCAAGAGACCTGCCGTTACACAAGCCTGTGGATCGACTGGTCTTGGTAGAATCTTATTTTAAGACTCTTTAAAGCACTGATTTATGCACAATTGATCTGATCAGCCAGGCAGTCAATGTGATTTATTAGCTAAGATGGCCAAAACCCTTTTTTCTCCTTTTTCATGCAGTAGTAATTCACCTCATTAGAGGTGGAATCATTATAGGAAGCTACTGAGAAATAAGAAGTTGAACCTGCTGGCCTGACTCCTTATTTCCCCCCCATCTATGGATCTACCAAATAGTAATAGCTAGACACTAAGACCAGAGCTGCTGTGCACACATGTAGAGGCCACTGTACTAGAGACAGATGGAGCAGATCAGAGAAGATTCTAATATTCTTCCACTCTGAAACATTTCCAGATATCAAATTCATTCATTTAGCTTCATGAGAAACTCATTCACTTAGTTTCTAGCAGGTATTTTTTGTTTATTTAACTACAGTAAGACAAATGACTTGTATTACTTTGTAATTATGGTGCCTAACTAAACATAAGACTAACAATGTGTATAACAGGAGTTGAAAACCTACAGTGTACATCCAGACGTGTGTACACAAAAATGTATACATACGCTTACACTCCTAATGTTGCACAAGATCTAGTTGAACAGCCCAAACAGGTCCATCTATGGACAAAATACACATTTGAATTTGCCAAGCACTTATATTTCCTATAATATGTTGGGGAAGGATCTACAGCTCTCATAGGTATACATCAGTACATTTGGTACAAAACTTCCTTCCTCTTGTTAAAGTCTGTCTCCCAGTCAGGATACCCTAAGTCCCTACTGATTACTGGCTACCTCCTTAAATTTTATTAACAAATAGTTAGAGAAGTAATGTAACAGAGTAATTTATGTTCATTTCATGAGATAGCTCTACTTTAAAACAGAGTATTACTCAACACCTTCGGGCCCTTCCATGCAATCTTCCACTAGGAGTGCAAGGCCAGGATCCTTAACTCTAGTTGTCCAAACCATGCATTTCCCTTTGACTTGATAGAAGATTCCTCCCTCCCAACACAGTGATTTTGAGAGATATGACCTGCTAATAGCTTCCTTCTATACCTTATCCCTCTCTAAAAGAATGAACACTTCGCC
Source organism: Homo sapiens (assembly GCF_000001405.40). Taxonomy (NCBI): domain Eukaryota; kingdom Metazoa; phylum Chordata; class Mammalia; order Primates; family Hominidae; genus Homo; species Homo sapiens. The sequence continues at coordinate 71,850,524 of NC_000013.11, forward strand.
ACTTCCCTGCCCACCTCCGACGTGCAAGTATAAAGTCAATAAGAAACTACTTAATATTTCACTATTAAAAGTTTAAAAACCACACATGATTCAGTACAAAAATGTTGAGGAGTAATACATTAATTCACTATATATGTGCTATATAAATTGTGAAAATTTGGATTTAAAAATTCAGATTTACTTAAGCCCAGTTATATAATTTCCATACAGAAGGACTTATGGCCACTGTCTTTGAGTCACTCTGACAAATGACTCCTTTAGAATATGCTGAATGAATGCACAGCTTTTAAGCTGAGCACTATTTCAATAACTTTAAAATGCAACAATGAACAAGACAATTTGTAAAATATGTGAATATTTTTATAACTCTTTCAGGAGGTACAGTACAACCTATCCTTATTACCAAACAAGTAATGTCAAATGACAAAATCTTTAGCTATTGTACTAGTTCAAAAGAAATGCAATGTGTGTATGTGCGCATTTGTGCTGTGATATGTACGTCCATGAGTATGCTTACGATCACATATTCAAGACCAGAAATCTTTACTGAAAGGATTCCAGGTGAAAATTTTTCAGTGTCAGAACATCAGTAAGAGGAAATATAATCTAAGATCTGGAGTTCTTATTCTCATCAGACATTTGCTGTTGACCACATAAACTTTGTCTTTAACCTCCTTCTTAATAGAGATTAATCAAAGGCAAGTAGCTTCTCCTGATTTAGGTTTTTGTTTCAAAACTTTGGTTGGATTATTATTTTAATAATTACCTATTTACTGCTACAGTTAAAACTCCATGTTTAAACACATTTTATAATTTACATTATAATTTACATTACATTTAGTATATTACATTATAACTAGTAAATAATGATGTTATTGGCCATTTTGATTTATTTATTATGCCCCCTTCTTGAAATAAAACTTTGCCTATATTATTAATGGCTTAAAAGAATAGTTTCTTTTCCTTTAGCTAATTGTATTTATTAGCAGCAGTTTTGTAAATAGAATAAGACACTCCAGGGAGAATACTGAGCTGGTATATAGTGGCCTTCTTGTTGTTGAAATCATTCACCCTTTGGACTTGTGAACCACAAAGCCCCCACAGCTCAGCAAATCCCAGCGTAGCACATGCCAAGTCCTGTCTTACTGCTTTCACATAGTCCTCACATTCTAACCCCCACCCCAATATTGCTAGATAGCTCAATACTGATGAGCATAGCAACAACTGACATCATAATTTATGGAATACAGTCCTGCCATCAAGCACATGTTGTTACTATATAAAGAATACAAATTCATCTGAAACTTGGGACTACTTCGGATGAATTTTTAGTTTGAGACCCCAGAGATTCTTAAAATTGTCTTGTGTATTTTCTTCAAAAGTTGATATGTGGTTTAGTCATTCTCAGTGGGCTTCTGCATCAGTTTAAACAGTGAGTGTACAATCTCCGCCTAGTTAAACTACACGTTTACATGGCGAGAGTACCAATGAGTATGTTTCATCAGACATTTCTGGAAGCTCTCTGGCCAATAGGAATGGTTTGAAACTGTTTTCTAATCACTGTTGAAATCACTGATAGTACTGTCTGTCCACACTATGACAGACAAAAGCTCAAATGTATTAAACATAGCAATCCATCATCCTGCAGATGGGAAGCAGGAGCCAGCCGAGTTCAGAGGCAGTGACTACCCGCTGCTTAACAAAGGCTGGAGTCCTGACAGTTCAGTCCCTTCCTTGCTCTTCGCGACCACCCCTCCATCTGAGATGAATGAGTGTAATCAATGAGGGAGAAAGCCTGCTGAGGACCTCAAATTCAAACATTGTTACATTTAAAGTGCTGCTTTTTTTTTTTTTTCCTAATCAGAACTGTTGCTTAAACAGTGTTCTCCAACTACAAGAAGATAGGCATTTAAGTGAAGGAATGAACAAATGAACTATAGATTCAAGAAGCATATCCTTAGAAAATACTGTCCTGGTATACCATTAAGTTTAGAGAGCTAGCTTTGAAATAAAGCTGTGATCCTAATTCAGAGGAAGTTTGCTTAAAAATTCACCCAATTAAGGGTAAGTTTACATTGTTTGGAGCAAAGGAATAGCGATGCTCTCTTTGAATGACCAAGAGATTATTTTTAAATAAGCACCAAATACAAATAAAATGCTATTGGCTAAAGTTCAATTTGTTTTGCATACTTGTTTCTAATAAGGACATATGAGCCACAAAATAGCCAAAGGGAGGGAAAAAACCCTCAACTGCTAACAGCACATTAACAAAGTATAGAAACGAAAGACACTTTTCTTTGGATTTCAGCCTTGTCATTTCCAATTTTCTGCTCCTTGGACATGCTTGTATTCAAATTCTGGAACATCTATTCAGCATATCAATCCTAATTAGACAATCTGGGTCTGGAAAGGATGAGAGCTGGGTCATTTGCATAATTTAATCATAAATACTCAGTGATACATATTTCCAAATGCATTTGTACAATTATCTTTTCATCCTTGGGGCAATGGTATTAATATGATTAGGCAATATTTCTGGAAAAAACAGACAAGTATGCACTCTTTTTAACTGCAGCTTAGGGCGATATGAAAAATTAATTAATTTCTGAAGAAAATCAATTTCTCTACGTGACCACATTAGACATTGCTAAACCAAGACTCAGAAACCTCTCTCAATCACTACATTTTATCAGGCTCTTCTAAATTCTGATTAGTATTTGAACAGTTCAATAGAAAAACTGGTAATGTATCAAAGAGCATCTTAAATTTTGAAGAGATCTTTCTGCCTACTTTCTTTTAGGGCACACCACTCTGCTTTACTTTAATGCATTGTTATTTAACCAGTCAATGAGAAGTCTGTGCTTTTGGTGTGAACTCATCTTGAGTGATCTTTTATTAATGTACATTAACCAATTTCAAGGACAACAGGATAAGGTTACTTTTGAAAGGCTTTCTCAAGAAATGGATTTATATTCATCTAAAATAATCTTAATTCACATGACACTGTTTATTATTAAAAAATTAGATAAACCAAGTCCTCTTAAAATGTACCATTTTCATAAGAAAAACATTATAATATACTTAGTGGAGCTCTAAGAACCCAGGTGGCTAATCTGATTTTTAAAAAAGAGATTCTGCTTTGTATGTTAATTAGTACAAAAGAAAGAAGTCACATTTGTGAGTTTAAATGCACTATTCTTTTCCTTTCAATCAAATGAAAAAGTAGAAATTACTGCATGCAAATATTCAATATTCATTTAATTTGCATAAAGGTGCTTGAACAAATTTTTGATTCTAACAAGCTCATTTTTCATGCGTTTTGTCTTTCATCCTAATCTAGCATCTGTCATTCCTTTTTGAAGTTATTATCGGCCCAATTCCCTCTTGGACATGGTTGCTGGGTGACCGGTATCTTAGCACCCACTTTGACAGGAACAGATGTGAAACTGATCAAGAGATTTCCCAAGGGTACCTGAAATCACAAACAACTTTTGTGAAAAACAAACAGCATTCCTGTCATGGGCCCTTATTTAACCCACTCTCCAAAAAAAAGAGAGCAAAAAAGTTTACTCCAGATCAAATATGCCATTTTAATTTTATTTCCTAAGCTTGGAATAAAATACTGTAATTAAATACAATTGTATTATATTTCACAATTTTGAATTTAAGGGATCTGTTCTAAATATCAATAGCTCAAAAATCCAGAGTTTGTTCTGTTTTTGGCTAGATGTTTATAGGTAAATTTCATGGTAAAATGTTTCTATTTCATGCACAATTTCACTAGAGTTTCAAAAAAAAAATAAAGGTGGGTTATGATAATTTGGATGACAAGGGTATGTAAGAAGATGAAATTTAGTTTGGTGTCTAAAGGCTTCCTATTTTGAGTATCATGTACAATTCTGTGCAGTAATAAGGATTACTCTACTTTTAGAGGATTGCCTACAAAATAAAACTTCCCCTCTCCTTTCATGCATTTTATAGCAAGAGTTTTTAACGTGTCTTTATTTCCAGTTCATGTGGTGTGTAACATCAATCATTATTGGAAAGAGAGCTAGAAAGTGCCTCTGAAAGACAAAAAAGGTCATAGAAACTTCATATCATCACCATTACAAAAGTCAGATTAGGTTGCCTTTTCTGAAATAGATTACTTTTAAGACCAGCACAATGATCTTATGATCTACCTACTTTCCTTCCTTCCATCACAGTTAGAGAGAGTGGAGTGCAATAGCCATGTTAAATCACCATGAAACTAGTTGGGGTAAACTTTTAAATGAAATTAGGTATATAATTAAATATTGGTATTTTATAAATATGGCATCAGGTGATACTAGGAAACAGCCAAAGAACTGATATGATTTTTCATCTTCATTCAAATGATAAGTATAAGGCCAAGGCAGAAAAATTGTTAATTTACAGTGAAAATAAGTGTTTGTGGATTGTCACTTAGCAGCCAACAGAAAAAGAATCAACAATGTATGTTTAAAACTCCAAATAGTTTTTCCTAGATGATCATGACTTATGATAGTAAGGAAAGTGGTATACCTTCCACTGGCAATTGTAATATTTTTCCTCTATTCCAAGAATTGATTTAGTATAATTATTATTAGAGACTTTTATGTTTGGTTCTTATTGGGAAATAACCAATAACCACTTATCCAAATGGTTTATTCAATGTTAAGTGAGAAAAGAATAAAAAGTCTTTGGAATTCTTTTTAACTTTTAATTTGAAAAGGAATTTGCTCACCTCAATTTCAAAACCCGATGATGGAATTATTTAACCATCATAATTGTGACAGCATATACATGTGTTGCCTTACCATCTATAAGATGTTTTTGGTGTATACAACATTGAGAGCAAGTCTTTCTATATGGAGAAGTAGGTCTTGATTCTGTAATCTAATGGCAGTCATTTAATACTGTCAAACAAGTAGAGATGCTATGACCTTACCCATTTATATCAGTTATCCATTTGCATTTATATGACATAGCATAGTACAGAAATGAAGCAAACTACTACACACCTAAATTCTTCTTTATTTGGAACAAATTGTTAACTTCAGCTGTCCAACTTAGGCCCATTTCATGTAAGTAAAGTGAATCCAGCTAAAATAAAAATATCTTTTATGCATCCAGTTTATCAGTGACCACCTTCATTTATTATTAGTAGTAGCAAAAGCAGCATTCTGGAAACCCTGTCAGGTGGTCCAACTAAAAGCAAAATTAGATACATAACCATTTAAAGTGTGACTCTAAGAAAAATTAAATATATTCCTAGAAAAATCCTTATTTGGAAATGTTATTACAAGGAAAAGGTCCTAAAAAAGTTTCTTCTCCTACTTGGACTGACTCATTAGTAAAGAGAAATTGATTAAAAAGTACAAAATAGTTGTTTTTATATCTAATTAAATTTGTGTTTATACTCCTTAAATCTAGGATATATACATAAAGAGAAGAATTTTGTTTTAAAAAGTAACATTTTAATAGCATGAGAAAACTTAAATAGCTGCAAAATTTTGATGGCACTTTGGCTTAACTGTGAAATACCACTGATGAATAATATTTTTTTAATTTCTTAAGAATAAAGGTACTAAATATGGTAGCCAAACAGGTGTTAACAGAAAGAAAAATCAAATTTGACCCAGAAGGCTCCAATATTAAGGTTTGAATTGGGATCAGTTCATTCCTTTCCCATGGGGTAACTTGTATAAATGTAATTCTATGGTTTCATAAAAGCAGGTCAAGTTTCTGTCCCTGGGGGTCTTTTGGCAATTTGAAGCATGGAAGCACTGTTCCTGGCTACAAGTTCAAATCTGCATGTACCATACTGTCAACAGTGCGTAAGAAAAAAATCAGTGAACAGCAGACATATATTCATCTTTGATTATAGTACACACTTATCAGAGCATTCTTAGAGGGTAAGAATAAAGGTGTCAGAGATGACAATCATAAAATATTTTGAAACTATTTTCACTTACTTATACTTTCTCCTACCAGAAGATGCAAAAAGTAATGTGAAATACTTGTATTTATGTAAATATCTAAATGCAAAGATGAACTTTTTACCGAATACTGTGTACAAGGTTTTATATTTTGTACAAAGTTTTTTTAATTCCATAAGCTTTAGATGAAGCAGAAACTTCTAAGTCATCACTGTTTTATAAGCGTCTTTCTATGTTGCAAAAAATGTATGCCTGCTTGCACTCTTACCGATGACGTAATGACTTGACATAGGCCATGGAATTATTGAGAAAGTAATTGATTTCAATTTAACTGGATCTTTACTAGGTGTTTTCAAAGACAATTATAGTCCACTGCAAGAAGTGGTAATACACATCTCCTTATGTAGACCTGCAGATTAACCCACTGACCTCATTCCTAACTCATCTCATTGATGGCAAAGCTTTTAGAACAGTCTCTTTTCCTTTATGTTATGAAATTGTTTTCCTATCATTTATTCACTGATTCTAAAGGATATGCTGGCTCTAAGTGCAAGAAGCAATGAAATAAACCAATAAAAGAAAGAGAGCAAGGGCATCAAGCACATGTAGTGTCATTTAATAATGTACAGATTCTAATACCCAATCGTTTAATATCTATTTTATACAAATAAAATAATTCTTATACATATATTTTTAAACAGAGAATTTAAAGTACATTATCATAAAAAAGGTTTAGAAAAATTAAGCTGTTTTTAATCACTGTCCTAATAACCATATAGCCTTGCATAATTATATCTAAAATATTTAAGTATAAACTACTTCTTTAACTCTAAAATTAATTCTTTTTTTCTGTTGTATTTCAGTAAAATAGGACCTGTTTATTGATGTATTGTTTCATGTTTTTATGTGCTACAAAAAGGTAAAATTAAAGCCAATTGTATTTTCCTAAGTTATTTGTCCTGTGGCCCTACATCCTACAGGTGTATATGTTATGTTTGCGTGTGTGTGTGTGAATGTATTCCTACACAACACATATACATGTATGTAAAGGCTTTTCTACCAAATGTACGACAATTATTTAAAGCATAGAGTACAAATGAGCTAATGCTAATACATATAAAAAATATCCACCACAGAGTTCTCTAAACTACTGATAAAAATTTTACACTTGTTGCACACACAAGAACATTCATCCTCATATAAAATGTGTGACAGGTATTATGAAAAATAAAAGTGTTCCAGGTTATTCTTTTAAAATCAAAAGGCACTATTTAAGTGTAAGTGCCTAACTCAAGAAGATAATATCATTTTGAATAATCAAATTAAATAAAAATCCTAAATTTGAAACATAAAATAGAAAGTAATACTGTTGAATGCATCAGTATATTTTAGCAGAACTATGATGGGTTCAAAGATTTGTTACACCTTAAGTGATTTACTTTGTTCATACATAAACAATATGTCTTTAAAATATAAGACTATGAATAAAACAGCCCATTTACTGTTGCTACTAATAAAATATCAGGATACAGTTTAAGATTTTAACAAAATACTCCATCTGCCTGATAAGTGAATGTAATACACTATTTCTTAGTTAACATATTCTAGAGATTTATTTTCATTGCCTTTACTGAAGAAATGACCAGTATCCCTTAAATGGAATTGATAAATATTTACTGCAAATGCTTCTGTATGTTTCCATAAAATATCTCCCTTTCAAGTAGTACACTTTCTTTCTTAAGATATATTTTGTTTGCCCTTGAAGAAAAATAAGGTTATTTTTTTCCTGTTGTAACTGGAAAGGCAATCTAATTATTTACAAACACTTGATACCATACAAATTCAAAGATCATTTAACACTGTGACTTTTTAATACTTCATGTTTACCACTCCATTCATATACGCTAAGGAAACAAAAACATTTCTCAATTATTCAATGTTACCAATCAACATCAACCAATGTACTATGTGGCCTATTGCAGTATTTGCTTCATGAAAATCATGCTTTAAAAGTATATCCATATTTTTTTTGTCAAAAATATAGGCTATCTTCAAAATCCACTTCAGGATTCTTAAAGATCTACTTATAGTCAAATCAAAGTATATTTATTTCTATTTTTCAAATCATAGAAAATATAATCACCACGTTGTACAACATTTTCTTCCTATCTAACTGAAATTTTGTAACCTTAGACCAACAGCTCTCCAGTCCCTGGTAACCACCATTCTACTCTCTGCATCTATGAGTTCAACTTTTTTAGATTCCACATGTAAGTGATATCATGCAGTATTTGTCTTTCTGTGCCTGGCTTATTTCACTTTTACTTCCTGCTAGAAAAATGTAATGTATTCCAGGTATTGTATTCAACCTGTACGGTACATTATTATAGATACTTCAGTTAAGCACTCTCTCTCTCTGCCTCTCTCTGCCTCTCTCTCTCTCTCTCTCTCTCTGTATCTCTCTCTCTGTGTGTCTCTCTCTCAGTATCAATCACTACTCTCTAAAACTTTTTTAAAAAGTAACTGGCTATTCAGTGTGTTGCTGTGCTTGTAGTTTACAACACTTCAATATACTTATAACAACAACAAAAAAAGACCAATTAAACAATGACATAGTGAGATTTCCAGTTTAATGAGTTGTCTTTGACAACTTCCAATCAAGTCACATACATTTAAATGTGCAGAAGAATCCCAGCTTGAAATCCTGGATCAATTCCAAGCCAATTTGGATCAGAAAGCAAAAGGACCACACCTTTAACACAATGCAGTCATTGGCAAATTTAATGTCCAATTTAGAAAGAATGAAAGATGATTTTTTTTAAATGGGTGAATTCGAATGCTTTTCTCTTATAAAGGAAATCTATGTCCGAATAAACCAATACATTTTAAATGCATTTGGTTCAAGGTCCTTGACTTTGGATCAAGTGGTGATTTGGGTCATTATATGTGATGTGACATATATTTTTTAATTGGACATTTATCTGCTATTCATTAAATTAATTTTAATTGTATCATTAATTTGAAAAACAATGACCTTTTTATTGATTGTCTAATAACTAATTTATAGTGGATTGAAAATTCTTTTCATTGTCATTTGTACATTTATATATAAAGCTAATCATTAGCTGCCTAAAACTAGCAACAATGGACACACTCTTAACAGATTCTCAGAAACCTCCTTAAAATAAATAGGTGTAACAAATAAAGTAATCCACCAGTAATCTAATAATAACTAATTAGTGGACCAAATATAAATATCTTATCCTTGGTATTCTTGTTTTCCAAAGCAATAATTTGGTAAACTAACTATACTATCCTAATGAAGTCATTCCTGTATGTGACATTTGCTAAAAAGCGAATATCAGCAAATAAAAGTTAGTTACAAGACAGCCACAGTAGCAAAAATTACTTTTTACTAGAAATATTTTTGGCAGATTGAGAAGAAGGAAACAAGAAATTTGAGCAAAATGTAGGTTTGCACAGAGCCTCTGCTGTGCCTGAGATGTACATATCTGTGCAGATCAGAGCCTTTGCTGTTACACTTATCTGAGCTCCATTAGGTGGGCTCTTAATTCATAGTTTTCTTCTTTAAAAATTTAATTATTGAACATAACAAACATAATAGAGAAGGGTCTCCTTAATGCAGTCCCAAAGCCTGAAAATATAAGTGTAGTCTTAGCTAGAATATTCAAACTACATATACTATATAAATATATTAATATACTACATATAATATGTAGTATTTAGACATACGTATGTACACACACACACACACACATGCATGCAGATATACATCTCTTAAACTGGCCAATCACAAAGCATTACCTCAGTAAGAAAATGGCACATGCTGACATATGCTAAGGTCATTCTATTTTTATAACAATTCAAACATAAAATGATAAAACTTTATCTTAATTACATTTTTAAATACCCAAGCCAATAATATCCATTTTTACATTTCCTGTTATTCTAAAGATATATAACTTAATGTGACTTTTTTTTTTTTTTTGGTGAACAAGCTGAAAAGGAAATACTTGAAAGATAAATTCAAACAAAGTTTAACTTTTTAAAAGAACCAAGTAACAAAAACCTTAAAATAAAAATGTTTAATGAAATCTAGATGACTCACCTGTACCTATTTAGAAGGCATAGTTCAAATTAATTTCTTCAGACAAGGATTCAAAGGGAGACAGTTTACAACCTGTGAGAGTTTAATTTCCCATTATATTTTGCAGTAGTTGTTTTCTATGTTGCTCATACAATGCAATCGAAATGACTATTTTACTTGACTGACAAAAGCAATTGTATGAAGCAATTTAGTAAAATAACTTGGAAAGATAAAATAATACTAATTGATAGTTAAAGCACAAATTGTTCTTAAAATAACAACTACTTGGTTGCACATTAAGCTAATTTACTAATGCTACTTATACTCTAAAAACAAAACATCAAATGAGAAACAATAAAGCATATCATGTTTTCATATGCTGGTGAATCACACGTAGTAAATCGCCAAAGACAAGAGTGATTTATGCTCAAATCCTGCCAAGACTTTAGTCAATATAGGGTGTCACATCTCAGGGAGTTGGGGGATGCAGTGAGGCAAAAAGAGGGTGGTTAATATTTGTCCCAGTAGTTGACATGAAACTGGAGTGAGATTTAATAGAATAATCCAAAAAAAAAGCAGATTTGGACTAAAAAAATGAAGATTTTAAAACTATGTGTCAAATGTGAATACCAGAATTTTTCTAGAGGAAAAAAGCCTGTCGTGTAGTTTATTTTATATAATATTTGAAGCTTCACAAAATAAAATATCATATGTACAAATCAAATTTCTTACATCAGAGCATTAACTAAATGTGGAGTTCAGAAAGTAAAGTATCATCATAACCATGTTCACTTTTGACAAAAATAACCACGATATTGTGAGAGACTAACTCTTAGAAAAACAACAGGTTTGGAAGAGATTATCCAAATAACTCAACAACTTATATCCTGCAGTATAATTTGACTGAACAAAGTAAATTCTAGGTTAGAATATTCTTATATTTTATTCATACACTAGTTATTAAAGTGTAATTTGCTAACACTTTAAAAACATACAGAAATAAATTGTGGAACCAAGCAAACTTTCATATTTAAGCTTTAGTCTTCTAATTATGCCCTATTCTTTTTGAAATGATATAAAATGAGACATTAGGCGTTATTGGAAGCATTAATCTACTGTAATACGAAAACTTCAAAAGCAGAGTCTCTCTTCATTTGAAGCAATTCTTTAATTTCTCTGTGCCAAGTATTGTAATTATCTGTTAGAAGTGAATCTATATTTATGTTAAACTTTCTATATCAATGCATAAGTCTGTGTCATTGAAAACCAGGCAACAGGGCAAATGTTAAATAAATATAGACTGGTTCGGTTTGCCATCTTTATTAAAACTCCTAACCAAAAAAAAAAAAAAAAAAAAATAGAGTCAAGAGTTGGAAAATGTTTTGTACTTCTTACACTACAATTTCATTCATATATTACTACTGAAACATAAAACACTTTCAATATTTTGTCCATGGATGGTATTTTAAGACAAAAGAATTCTGTTTGTGAATATATGTATGTGCCTAAAAAATATATAAGACTAACTGGAATCTACTTAAGTTAAAAACCCCTCAAATCTAGGGTTACTTAGAACCTACATCACAATCTTGTTTGAAAGATCCTGAGAAAAAATTATCTTCTTACAACAATGAAAGAAATGAATATTTTAGATAACATAATAAAACAGGGTCACTTTTTTAAAACCTGAATTCGTGGAAAATTGAATCCTAACCCAAATCTACAAAAAGGGAACTGACTTATACAAACAGAGATTTGACCATGTACATAATTACTTTTCTTTTTTTGTTGTTATTTAATGGTAAGCAGTTAATTAACTGACCTCTGTTGCAACAGCCAAGTTCATGCAACTAATGTTTAGTTTTGAAATAATAATTGGAGGAAGCTGATCAAGGACAGACTTTGTCCTTTGACAACTTTTAAATATATGTCCTTACATTTCTTTCATGTTTTGAGACCTTTATTTTTTAGCTTTACATTTCTTTCATGTTTTGAGACCTTTATTTTTTAGCTTTACTGTCTAGCAGGTGATAGTCTCTTTTTCACCTCCTTGTGGTAATGACAGATGGCTTCAACATTTATTCTAGTTTTCATAGATAACATACTAATGCAATAGCCCTAAGCAAATTAAAACCACTCGAAGGTTTGCTACTAACTTACTGAGCCACTTTGAGCAAGTTTATGAACCTTACTTTTCTGTAACATCATTTCGGTTCCTCAAAATCCCTGGTATTATTATTCCATGCTATTAAGAGATAGACATAGTTTCTGTAAAAAGCTGAGAGTGCTAAGATTTGATGTTTCTCATTGTATATAAATTATGATATGTGCATGTATAAATTATATACACACATATATGGGTGTATAGATAGTAATTTTATACAGTTTCCCTTCTTGCTCAGCTTCTCTTATACTCTACATAAATTACTCCCTTAGCCTGTTAAGTAGCTAGAGGAGAAAGAAACCAAAGTGAAATAAATCAATACATCTAGGTGAATAAAAAAGGTTCTTCACAGCAAAGATATAAACTTGACTTGAATGAAAAAAGTAATCATAATTTTATAAATGCAAGATGCAAAACATTTCAAAGCTTTCAAAGGTAAGAAATAAGACAATAATGCTTATAATAATCATTAAAAATAATAATATAGGGTAAACAGTATATTTGGTGAGAGGGAGTTCCATTACAAGTTCTCAATTTCTTCAATCAGTGGCAGAGTTAGGAAAACCAAGGTAGGTATTTGCAACTAAACACCTTCTCAAGTTAATGACTACAATATTGCATGTATTTAAGTTTGAGTAAGCTTTTTTAGTTGATATATGATCAAATACAATACTAAATCAACAAACTTCCCGCCTTTAACTTAAAAATAACTTGAAATAGGGTTTTAGAGCAACACATGTAATTGCAAATTATTAAGGCCAGGTGACTGAAACATAATTACAGTAGTGATGAGATATTTGTGAAGAGATAAACAGTTCCACTGGATTTAACTTATCTTGGCTCTGCAAGTTTAAACTCCAGATCTGTTGTTAACCTCAGGGGGAAAAAACTTGAAAAATATTTAGTTAAAAGTTAAAGAATATTCTCCAACCACATGGTGAGGACTTCAAATCTAGGCAAAAATTCAGGGAATAAATCGAGTTTAACATTGATTATAACATTTATTATAATGCAGTCATTGAAGAAAGTTTTCTCCAGTAATTTTTTGTGTTTACGTGTGTGTATGTGAAATGGCCTTTAATTATCTAGTATCTAGTGTGCTGTAAGAAACACATAAAGAGGATACCGAGGAGAGTAGATGTTTGATTATTAAAGAGAAAAAAAAAGTAGCAATTCACCAATTTACTGGATAGGCAGACAATTTTATAACAATCGTATCTGAACTAGCTTCAAATTTCACCTAGCTTTCTTCATAACTCCAGAACAATTTTCCTGTCCTGATTCAAATAGTTTTAATATAGATTTTGGGCAAATATTTTACATTCTGCACGACCAAGAACTCCAATTATCTGAGTAAATGACGTTTAGTGATCTTGCTTCCGCGACCCCCACCACCCCCCATCTTTACTGCCACCTGTCCATACTTTTGAGCGCGCGCGCGCACATACACACACACACACACACACACACACACACACACAACATTTACCCCAAAATAGTCGAAGGTTCAAAGCCCAAACACACCCAAGTCCCATGGAAGGAAGAATACCTAAACACGGAAAAGAATTTCTGGCTAGGTCAGGATAGGACATTTGCTGGACTGGAATTCGAATCTTTTTCGTTTCACAGCCTTCCCGGGCACTAACAGAGAAGAAGTCTTTCTCCATGGAAAAAAGAGCTAGCGCTTTTTCAACCCAATGTCCTTCTGGTCTCCTTGCTACACTTCCTTTCCACCTAAGTTTCCCTATCTCTGCGGGAGCACACACTAACTCCGCTCCTTCTCTCAATCTTCAAACTTATTTGGAGGGTACCGAAGTTTCTGCGCAAATTTTGCGCGCAGTTCCCACGTGCCCGCTTCAGGTCTTCAACTTTCCCTATTTTCTTTCTCCCGGAATCTCACTCTGAACTTTTGCCTCTGCGCTTCCTTGCAGAGAACCGTGGGGACAAAGCGGCGCTGTGAAAGGGGGTGGAATGATCATCTCTACCCCGAAACTGACAAGTTGCCCCACTCCCGCCCCCTCTTGGTAGATCCTCCCCCACTGAGCGTTCATTAGCATAAAACTGGTCTGGCTGGGGACCGGTCCCGCCGCCTCCTCCGTGCGCGCGCTTTGCTGGGCTGGGGAAGCCAAGGCACAGAGTATCAGGGCCGCTGAGCATCCCAGTGCAAAGTGTGCACCTGCTCGCTGCTTAAGCTACTAACCTTTAAGAAAAGAAAAGAGAGAGAAAGACAGAAAGAAAACACACTTTGGAGAGAAAGAGACAGAGAACTCGAAAGAGAGATCGAGAGAGAGCGCGCTCCGTGGCTTTCCTTCCTAATCTCTCCAGTTCAGCTTCCATTGAGTCTCGGGCAATCGGTCACCTCCCCCTACCGAAGAAAACCTGCTGGTTGCCCTCGCATCTGCCCCGGGGCCACCGTACCCCTTTATTTCCTTTGCACACGCACTCGCTCACACGCGGACACACGCACACATGCGCGAACACACAGACCCCTCCCCTCGGCTGGCTTCCCCTCCGGGCTTCGGAGCTCAAGTCCCCGGAGCCCATCCCCCGGGATGGACCCGGTCTCTCAGCTTCGCGGGTCATTTCCCTCCCGACCTCAAAGTGCCCTCCTCGGGTGCTGGTCCGCTCCCTCGCCTTTCCCAGCGGGGCCCTCACCCGGAGCGCGTCTCCCCGCTCCCCGAGCCCTGCGGAGCAGGTCACGACCTCCCCCCGCCCCCGGGACACCGCTCGGCGCCACAGATCAGCCCTGTCGGTGCCGGGAGGCTGGCCGTGGAACCCAGGTCCTGGGGAGCGCACGAACGCGGACAGCAGCGCTGAGAGGGGTCTCCAGGCGCCCGCGCGCCCGGGGCAGGGGGCTGTGGCTCCAGCAAAGGCGCCGTCCTCCTCCCTCTCGTCCCCTCCGCCCCGAGGCTCGGCTTTCCCACATCCCACAGCAGCCCATCCCCGGGACCCAGAGGGCAAGGGGAGGACCGGGCCGAAGAGCGAGGTCTGGGCAGGGTGAGGTGCCAACTTCTCAGGGGGTCGGGCGCGGCTGGCGAGCCCCGAGCAGGGAGAGGAGAGGGCCGCGCTCGCCGGGGCGCGCGGCTCGCGGGCGCGCAGAGCGAGCGGCGCCGGGAAAGGAGCGAGGGCAGGCGAGCAGGCTGGTGGGAAGGGGCGCGGGCGGCGGGGGCTATCCCCCCCGACTCACCTTGCGTTGGTGCAGTCATTGTAGAGGGTCTCGAAGTCCTTCCTGGAGATGAGTTTGCAGCGGTTCACTCCTGGCTGGATGGCGCCCAGTCCCCTCAGGATGCGAACTTGTTCCACATTGCACACCACCGGCGTGATCTCCAGCCGCTTCAGCTTGGTGTAGACCGTATGCAAGCCCCCCACCAAGTGCTTCAGGAACAGGTCGAAAGCCTGGGGCAGGCAGATCAGCTCGCAGCCCTCCACCGTGAAGGAAGCCACTTTGGCCCCCCTCAGATCCACCATTTTGCACTCATTATTCTGAGGGGTGTTTTCCACTGGGGACGGGGTTGAGTACACGGGTTTCCCGGGGAGGGGGCCGCAGCTGCTGCTGCTACTGCTGCTGCTGCTACTACTGCTGCTGCTGCTGCTGCTGCTACTGCTGCTGCTGCTGCTGCCGGTGCTGGCGTTGATGGGGGTGCTGGAAGCGACGCCGCCGCCAGCGCTGATGCCGCCGCCGCCGCCGCCGCTGCCGTTGCTCGCGGCCGCCAGGTTGGGGTTGCAGTTGCTGCCACCGCCGCCGCCGCCACCGCCGCCTCCGTTGCCGCTGCTGCCGCCGCCGCCTCCGCTGCCGCCGCCGCCGCCGCCGCCGCCGGTAGAGGTGACTGTGGCCGCCGCCGCCGCCGCCGAAGCGATGGGCTCCGGGCGGAACAGAGTTGGCCCAGAGGACGCCGGGGGTCCGATGGAAGGAGCCGGAGACGAAGTCGCCGAAGAGGTGGAGGTGGTGGTGCCAGAGGAGGAAGCAGACGTGGAGATTGGGGGTTGAGGGGGGACCAGCTGGGTCGGAGGGATCAAAGCCGCCGGCACTGCCATGGTCACATATAAGGGGAAACAGACGGAGGAGAAGCGAGAGGAAAAGTTGCCACACACCCCCGGGAGGGGAAGGGGAAAAAAGGGGGGAGAAGGAGCGAGGGGGGCAACAACAACTCCGGGAGAGAACGAGAAGGAGAAAGGGAGAGAAGGGGGAGAAAAGGAGGTGAAGGTAATAAAGAGCGAGCGCAAGAGGGGCGAGCACGAGAGGCGCTCTGGAGAGGAACGCACAAAAGTGTCCCGCAAGTCGAAATGCGAGTCCTCTCCGGGGGCTGGGATCGAGGGCTGGTTTGGGGGTGGGGGTGGGGCGGGGAGGGTCGGCTGTTGTTGTGTGGGTCTCGCTCTAGCACAAAGTTAAGGATGAAGGTGAAAAGGAGGAGGTTTGAAGGACTTGGGCTCTCCCTGGCAAGTACATTGATCAAAGATTGAGAGGGGAATGACAGAGAGAAAATGAGCTGAAAAGTGCAGGCTGCCGGCTGGACGAGTTGTTGTTGTCACACGGTGCAGAGGGGAGGAGCTCCGGAAACTTGAAATACCCTTTGAAGCCGCAAAAACCTCACTCACTAGTATTAACCCAAATTATCCAACCAGGAACTCGGAGCAGAGACTCCGAGAGCGCGAGACACTGGAGAGGGAGCGTGCGAGGAAAGGAGGAGGGGAGGGGGAGGATACGGAAAGAAACTGTGGGAGGGACGGAGAGGAAAAGCCGGGGACACAGAAGTGGCGATCGGAAAAGGAGAGGGAGATCATCTACTTCTCTTCTACTACTACCGTTAGATTGCATGTCTCACATTCCATTTCGTCCGCGGGGACTGGTAATTTTTTCCAAAGCTTCTAAACAATCGCCCGCCAACTTAAAGAGGAGCCTGAGCGCGCCGAGCTCTCTCCTTCCAGGATTTAGGATCCATCTCCACGCGTTTTGGCAATGAGCTAGAAACGAAAACACAGCCCCCACTTCACGATTATTCAGAAATTATTTTGAGGAAAATTCACATGTAAGCAAAGCGTAATGTTCTTTTGCATCTGATTGTTTATTTCTCTACTAAATTATTTATTTATATAAAGATAGTGAAAATTCCAGGACAGTTTTCAAGTGGTGAGAAGAAAGTCAGTCCGAAATCGCTTAAGAATAATGGAAAGCTCTGTATTCAATTCCATATTTCCTAATAGGTTGTGGAAAGAAATGCTTGCCTTGATGTGGATGATTTAGAATAACTTCACTGTCTCCCCAAAAGCCAGTCAGAAATACCTGTTAAACCTAGAGCTATCAAGGAGATAAGGTATCCTTGAAGATTTAGAAAGTGGAAAAAGGGTTTTCTTACCCAAAACTCTATAATTAATTCACCTGTCTTACACAGTAACCAACTATCCTCATGTCCTTTAAGACCCAAAGCCAATTGCTAATGTGTTTTTTGGACAACACAATAGTTTTTTTTTTTTTTTTTTCATGTTTGAAAAGTGCTGCTGTAGTTTTGGAAAGTCCTTTTCAATTTGTCAGTAAATATATGTTTTGTAAATAATGGGAAGAACAAAAACAAAGCTCACTAGTTGACTTGTAAAGACTTGGGTAGCTGTGCTTAAAACAACATGAGGCTGAGTTTAGACTGACTCTATTCCTCCTTTCCTTCCTCTTTCCTTTTCTTTTCTTTTCTAACTTGTTGCACTGAAGTATTTATTCAAGGATTTTTGACTAACATATCATTTGAATATGGGTCAAATCTATTTGCTGCTCATGTCTCCAAGTATCTTCAATTAGTTAGCCTTTGAACCGGTCCACACATGTTCAGTAAGTTCATAAGATATGAAGCAATGCTTTAGCATTTGACAGATTTTTAAAATAAACTGTTAGTAGCAGGTTCACAGGGTTGGGAAATTTTATAATAAAATTTTTGCCATTCTGGTGTTGAAATGATCACATTTCTCTATATCATTTTAAGCCTTTGAACTCTGTGAATCGCAGTGTCAAATAGTGCAGGAACTGTCTACCGAAAAATAGAAATATGACACTATGGACTAATTAGTGTATGATTATACTAAAATTTTTGGGACATAGCAGTTAAATCAGGAGGCTTTCCTGGGAGATAAGAATTCAGAAAATCGATTGTTGCAGAAAAGTCCATGAACTTCTGCAAGGACAACTAAAGTTTAAACAGTTGTTTGGCCTGGTTAACCAATGTATTGTAATACATTCAGAAATAATTTTTATTTATGTTTCAGTCTTCAAATTTGTTATGGGTAAAAGTAGGAATTCAATATATATCACATACATCAAAACACTTCCTTAAGTATTTTTGCATGTTTTAGAAAATATTACTTTTTTAAGACATACCAAACTACTATTATAATGAGGGGAGGGGAGGAAGAAAGTATTAAGCCCTGAAAAGCTAATTTTATTTTCGAATTCTATGCCTAACTTTAATAAATTTTGATATGGTTTTAAAAGACTAAACTATAGTCTCATTATTTTAAGTTCTAGACCCACAAATGGAAGAATGGGAATTAAATGCCGAGCATCTGCCATTACCATTCTCATTTTTTACATTTCCTTAAACTATCACTCACCCAATACCTGACACATTCGGAAGCTACAGACAGGAGGTAATGATAGCAGCCCAAGCCATAATCCCACCTTGCTTCGAAGCAAACTCCAAATTTTCTACTGCAGGGAAACCTTTGCCTCCGAGCACGTGCTCCACTCAGAAGCAGGGCTGAGAGACATTTGCCCCCACCTGAATAAGAGCTCTCCAGCCTTCCTTCTCCTGACCTCAGGTCTCAAAATCAGTTCAGGGAACCACCACTTACCCCTTCAATCAAACAATAGGATTAGAAAAGGCATATAGCACAAATTAAAATATGTAGGAAATAAAAGCCTTGAAAATTTTGAAGGTTTTATCTCTTTTTTCTTTCCTTTTTTTTTCTTTTTCTTTCTTTCTTTTTGAGAAATGTTGCCAATGAGTAAGGCAAACAGTTATTTAACAACAACAGATAAATCAACTTAGAGATTTTGAATTCTCACTCCATTGCATCTTTAGCTTTTAGAGCTTTTGTCTTGCTTGTTTATTGTTTTACATCTCCGCTTGTTTCAGGTCCTCTCCATCTCATCTTCCCCAACCTTCACTCAATTTGCATAAGCAAAACTCAAAGTACTGTAACTGATATTAGAAAATTCTCCCTGTGTTTTGTGAAGACGTATTGTGCTGAAATCAATAAGACTGTTTAAAATTCAAAGACCTGCAAATCGTTCTGTTTGTCCTTTGATAGGGCCTGTGCTGATTAAAATGCTACCAAGAAAGCTTAATTGCTGCACTAATTAAGAAGTCTTTAATTTCTTTCCTAGGATATCGTTTGAAGCTTAGCTTGTACCAGTTCAGGG
This sequence comes from Homo sapiens, assembly GCF_000001405.40. Taxonomy (NCBI): domain Eukaryota; kingdom Metazoa; phylum Chordata; class Mammalia; order Primates; family Hominidae; genus Homo; species Homo sapiens. Next base: position 71,870,140 of record NC_000013.11, read on the forward strand.
AAGGTATTTTCTTCCCTCCCTCTGCCCCCTTCTGGCCCCTCCCCTCCCTTTTTCCCGTCCTCCCTTCCCCCACAACCCCCCCCACCCCCCGCCCGACAATGAGATCCCTACGAATGGGAACTAACAGAGAGAGTGGTCTCAGGTCTTGCTATCTGTTACTTAACAAAAATCGGCACAGGATGCAGAGTTCAGTACAGTATGAAATGCAGTTTTGAGAAGAGCTGTAAGGTTGCAAGAGACAGTAAGAAAATACAAAGTAGCTGTTGCAGCTAAAGTCCCGCTGAATACCTGGATGACAACAGGCACTTTAGCCCGATGATGAGGGCATCCTATTTGGTTAAAAGGGGCAGTGACAGGGAAATGAAACAGGGACACATAAAAACATACTTACAAAACCTGTGGTTTAAAAAAGAATAAATCTGTAGAAAGATGGACATAGAGTTGGGATTTGGTAAGTATCATTTTATTTTATGAGTATGAAAACATGAATTCTATGGGGATTTATTTCTGACCCTTTTTATAACCCAGGGAAACACAGCACTGTATTACATCCATTCCATTCTTATCTATTGACCTATTTTATTCACTGATTTCTCAAGTGGGGAAACTGACTAAATCATTTCACAAAGCTTTCTCTGTAATCAATAGTCATTTTTTAGGTTTATTCATGCTGCATTATAATTCTGGTAAATGACTGCAAAGCAGAAGATTGTAAGAAAGATACAAATATTGACAAAGCCAGGATAAGTCATGTCTTTAAACCTTCAGAGTTTCAATATAATTGATATCATTATTTGAAAAAAGGGAAATGCATATTTCATAGCATATAAAAAACTAAAATGATGGAGTAACTTAAAGGCAATATATATCTGAATGTATTTCTTGAATATCTCAAATTTTCCTAAAAGCTTTGAGTATCCTCTTTCTATAGCATCACTAAGTGAAACGGAAACAATTTGGGCATATGCAGAAATGACAAGAAGAAAAGATTCATTGCAATTTTATTATTTTAATTTTTTCCCAAGTTCTCTTAGAGACATACACAAAAACATACAGATGCATATTCCAGATATAGAATGAATCCCTTTCAGTGACAGGACAAGGAGATAAAATGCTTAATAGATTCAAAAGGAGATTTACCATTCTAAGCACGACGTCACTCTAATTATGTTTACTCTAATTGAAAGCAGGGTTTTTTGGAATCTGAAATTACTTTCAGATTTTTTTTTAAATAATGCAAGTAGATCAAATGTTGATCACAAGCATTTCAATCTTTCAAAATGTATTGGAAAATTAAATGAAAAGTGGAGTTTGGTACAAACAATGCCCCAGGGCAAAAAACAACTAACACTAGATTTTCCAGTCCAGCCATAACACAAATCAATTTGAGCACACTTCTATGGCCAGACTGCCAGATTGTTATGACTGCTAATTCACTCAATCAAAGAGTGCATTAGCACACCCGGCACAAATAGCCTTAACAATAGAGTGCATTTCTCAACAATTCCAAGATATATCACAATGGAGAGGTAAAGAGGAAGATCATTTTTATATCTACATATTTACTAATGGACCTGTTTCCTTAGGAGAAAAAAAAAAAAAGATCAACTTCAAGCATAGGTTTATTAAAGAGCTATCAAAGTTTGGCAAATCTAAAAAGATATCAGGGTACCAGTAGTTCACTGACTTTGTTAAACGTTTCTCAGGAGAGAATCCAAAATTGATGTTTGCACTTCAGTAGTAAATCATTGAAGATGGAGAAATTATGCCAAGTGACTCTCTCAAGCCTTTTTAACTCAGACGCACTGCCTCCTCAATCAGCTCAGCAGATAAACCTCAACTACCTTAAGCAAAGACTTCCTTACTTTTACACTTTCAGTCTCTGTCTCCCCACTTTTCCTTCCAACTTCTGACTTTTGATGACTCTTACTTCCATACCTTCCCTCTCTTTTCCACTGCCCTCCTTCTCCTCAAGAACAATATAAGACTTAAGGATGCATTCTCTAATCAAGCACAGAGAGCTTGGTGATGAATTACCCAAAGGACAAAAGGTAGGGAGCTGAAGGAGAACAGATCATAACTTGAAGCACTCAACTTTATATTGCCAACTTTCATTCTTAATAAAGAAGTGGTTAAAATGGTTATAAATAGTTCTGCTCTGCTTTACACCATGGAAATGCGTGGACTGTGTATATATGCTTACTGAATGCATTGTAATTGTCTATTCACATTCACCTTACATAGTTCCCATAGACAAATGGTGCCATTTGGCACCACTGTTAGTCCCTCCCTAACCCATCCTCATCACCTTTTCTCCTGGTTCAGGATGAAGGTGACATATGGCAAAAAATACTCCACTGGTCATGGGGTATATTCTCAGAAATCTCTAAACTCAGATTGAAGAGAGAAGGTAGTGGCAAGAAGAATAGTTACACACAAAAAAAAATTCATCCTGGAATTGCTTCCCTCATTTCAAACTGCATCGCTTCTATGACACATGGTCAACTTTCCATGATAATGTAGTTATCCTTTTCTATCACTACTTACTTCCAGTTAAGTGTCCTTAATTTCATCTGTAGGTTGGTATTAAGGGCTGCCCAGCCTACTGTTCAATTAAAAAAAATAAATACATTGAGATCATTGTAGAGTCAGATTGTAAAAGGAAGCAGCAACAAGAATAATATAAATTGAGATTAATCCCCTTCATCTCTTAAATCAGGTCATTGTGAGAGGAATGGTGCACTTGACTGAAATAAGGTCAAAAAGTCAGACAGATATTTAAATCCCTAGTTTTGTAATAAATATTGTACTTGTAACTGTACCTTTTAATATATGGCATTTTCTAATTGTCATATTCTTTTCTCTTTAAATAACCCAACACTCGCTTTCCTCTAAAGAAGATCAGCATGAAGGCATATGAATTGCTCAAGAGACATAGTTGAGAGTGGGGAGAGGACGTATAATCTGTTATAGCATAAAAATATGTTTGATATTGAAGCATAAATTACTCTGTAGTTTTTCAGCCTTAGGAGAAATGTATTTTACTTCATTATAAAAGTTTCTGTTGATTTTCTATATGCTTTGTTGTTTTAACTTATTATCTTGGTCCTTTTTCTTTCTCTATGCTCAAAAGAAGAGGACATTGTCCAACAAATAGCCTATAAAAATTGTTTTATTTGAAGTCAGAAATTTCATGGATTGTTAGAAAAGAATAAAGTGTTTATTTATTTATTGCCTTCCAGAACAAAGAGATTTTTTAAAAAGTTGAAAGAAGAACAATTGCCACCTTCTAGCCTGAGATCTTGTATGTCAAGTTTCAGCCCAGAGCAAATTTTTACAACAAGTTATAAACCCCTGTAACAGAGGGTTTATTATAATGGAAGTGCTGACACAACCTTAACTATAGCGTTGTAAACGGCTATGCTATAATATCCATTAAGCAGAAAGAAAAATAAGCTGGCTGATCAATAATTTATACAAAGAGTACCAACTGCAGACATAATAACTGTAATGTTTGCAAAGCAATCTCTCTGCTCTCCAGGCTTAACAGTAAACGCAAACTAGCAATGCTGTTAATTTCCAACTCCTACAGATAAGAATACAAACAAATTACTTAAAATTATATTTTGCTCAACATTTAGCATGCCTCGATGGGATAAAATAAAATTTAATTATGATGCAACTTGTGCCGGATGCAAAGCTGTTTTGTTTTCCAGCACATTTTATTATGAAAGGACATTCATTTGGAACATCAATTATGGGGAAATAGTATGTTTCAAGGAGTTGACTTGGGTCAGGCAGGCTCTTCTAAGAGTTATTCAGACATGGAAACAGACTGACACTGTTTAACTTCAAAGAAAGTTACAGGGTTTTACAAAGCCACAACCTGAAATACAATACTGCATGCTCTGATCCAAGTCAACTGTCAGTAAAAACACACCTTGTCATTATAGTTTATGGGAAAAAAGACATTGGTTTGGAAAATGTGGCCATCATTAGCATCCAGTGCATCTAGGAGTGCTCATTTAACATGAGCTTCATTTGCATGGAAGCACAGTGTGTCATTTCTATCTAATAAACATAAATCATAAAATGTGAGCATTATTTTCTTCTCTGGAAAGTTTTTAAAAATATATTTTAATAGCTGTCCATATTCATTAGTGCTCACTTTTTTTAGTTTCTACATATGTGAAGTATGTTATTTTGATATTTTTGTTTTCATTGGTGGCTTTTAAACCAAGAAAAGAATATTTGACAGGAATTCAAGAAGGGAAGAGAAGAACTGAAGGATTCCAAATTGTCCACTATGTACATACTGGAAGTTGAACCAAGAGTTTACATTTCTGAGGTTCACATCTCCATCAGTCTTTTTGTCTGTACATTTCCTGATGGTGGGATTAGTGGGGGGTGTGGAACTCAGTAGAACGAAGAGACTTTGCTATCAGAGTTGTAAAATGGTGTATTACCCTGTGAGCAATTGCACTTGGAAAGGAACCAGTAATTTATATGAGAAGTGTTTAAGATTGCCTGCTCACCCAGTGATCCATGCCAGGTCAGTTCCAGTAATGCTAGAAAACAAAAGGAGGTACACATCACTGGGAAAGAGACACCTTATACGCCTTAAGAGCTTGTGAAGGGAAGCACTAAAATGCCATTTTCTCAAATGAACTGATCATTACCATTTAAAATCCTGAGGGCTGTGGGACTGGGGAGGAGAGAAAGAATTTTTCTTTTGATTTAACAGGGCTCTGAAGTACTGGTTTTAAGGGGGAGGTGTTTTGTTGTGATTGTGTCTTAGCCCTATGCTTTAGCAAAGGTTAAATCTTGAAAAAAAGGTGCAGTTTTAAAACAATGAAATGGAAAAAGACACAATGGCTCTGAGAATGCACCTGGCCCATGTGAAACTAAGAAATTAGCTGTTTTTAAAATAATCTGTACAAATAGTAATGCAACCGTCTACTGCTAACATTCATGCCAGGCTCTAAATTGTTGGTGTTAGTATTTTACTTGAATAGATTTTCCCAGATCAACCCCTCACTCCTCCAGTTTTCAGGAGAAGGCTGGGATAATTATATAAAAAAGTACTTCCTAAGAATTCTTTACAGACTTCTTTATTCTTGCTTAGCACAATCCAAGTGCCAGCTCTTAGTATACCTCCTTTGGGGAGAGGTTTCAATACTGTCATCTTCAGGCACATGCTTTTCCCATATGCTTTAAAGTCATTTTAGTTTTTGAACCGGAGTTCCGTTCATTCACACATCCAGCATGTCTTCATAATATATTCTTTCATATTTGGAGAAGAAACTAAATAAAATGACTATTCCTGACTAAGTCAGAATTTATAATTCACTGATTGGCTCAAGATGCCACACATCCAGGAATCTTTGCTGATTTATTCCTGTGTGTTGTAATAATTTTCACACTGCATTCTGATGGGAGAGACAATTATCTTATGTGTTTACACTTGTTGATATGTTTCTCTTCAGGTGGTCTCAAGTCATTTCTACTGCTTTTGATATCCACTATAATGATTAGGGCTTGTGGGGTGCCCAGTAAATGTTAGCTGGGTAATTAAAAACTGCTAGTATGCTATGCGATCCATTTTCTTTGCCCCCAAATTACATAAAATGCTCCTTCTCCAAATGATATATTGTTTGATTCAGAACAAGATATTGATAAGTAGCAAAATTTTAGATATGCTCATTCAATTCTGTCCTAATATACAATGAATTTAGGACACTTCTTAGGGCAAAAAATCCGAAATGCTAAGAAACTGGGTCTGAAATAGCTGGAGAAAAGAATCGTAGGCCTGTAACTATGGCTTGTATTTGGGACCCATTTAGAAAAGAATCTTCTTTTCTTAGTCATCAGAGGAGCCATTAGAGAGTCTTCACCAAGACTGAAAATATAAGTGAGAGTACATCTTGAAGTGCTACTGCAGAGGAGGAAGAAAAGTAGATTCGTGTGTGAAATTCTACCTACCAAATGTGAGTAAGCGTGCATATGTGCAACAATTTGTAAAGTTGTTTACTATAACATCACCATCACTTTAACGTACATAGCAGTCTCTGTTATATAAAGCATACTTATTTTTGTGCACCGACCATATGCTAGTTGCTGAGGATGCAAAGGAGAAAAAGACATTCGTCCCTATCAGCCTTTACTGTACATTATTTCTGTTGAGTCTTATTACCATAACATCATTGAAATTTTGTGTTAGTGGAGCCTGGAAGATCATCTAATCCTAACATTGCAGATCTCATGCTACCATTTCCCCTGTGACCATGTCAGACATCACAAATGGCTTTCCGATCCTTCCCCTCAAGATCTGAGGCAATCTCAGTAACACTGTCAGGATAGAACTGTAGTCTGCCTCTCACTGTGAGCTCAACAGATTCATCCCTATATATCACTCCTGATCTTGCAAAAGAGAAAATTGACAATTAGCAGTATATGAGAATGTCCCTTTGTACTCACAGCTAGTTAAGGCTTAAGTCAGGTATTGGTTTAAAATCAAGTCCTCATTGATTTATTCTCCCAACTACCCTCAAAAAAAAACTTTCTGAGGTAAAAGGGGGAAATATTTTTATTTCATTTCATATGTAAGAGAATTGAAAAAATAATAGAGAGGCACAGTTGGGTCTAAACTCATGATTCTCTGTTTCTATTTCTGTATAACAGATCTCAGAGTGCTCAAATAATAGAGCTACTGATGTGTTCTCAGTGGCTACTTAGATGAATGCACTGATATGCTACAGTGCAACATAATGGGGATGAAGGAAGCAAACAAACAAAAAACTTGTGCAACTGTTATTTCAGGGACAAGACCTTTTGAGATCTTGAGAAATACTTCACTTGTATGTGATGTTAGAAAGTCAAACTGCACAAAGCCTTGTGGTTCTTTGACTTTCGTGATCTGGTTTCCTCTGGTTAGAAAATGGCAGCATCCACCAGTAAAAATCACCTACCTGTTGGAGTGTGCTGCAAAATCAGGCAATGAGCCAGCAATTGAGCCAGCAGTTGATTCCATAAACACTTTTCTATAGTCTCTTACCAACCTCAGTCTGCTTTCCATATGGGACTATTCAGCCTCTTTCTCCGATCTTTTTTCATCCTGATTTCAAGAAAGGTCACTTTCTACTTGTTTCCCAGATGATTCAGGGATCACTCACAGCTCTTCCTAACAGAGCAATCGCATGCCCTCCTGCTGCCACATTTAAATTGTCTGAACTGCGTGGCTTGTTCATTTACTCTCCCTTTAGAGTGAAGCTGCAAAGTAAGGAAGACTTGAATGGCCTTGCATCTTCAAAGAAGTGCCTCGAGCTCTGGAATGCAACAAAGTGGTAGAAACCACTAAACACCGGGAAATGTCAACAATGAGGCGGGAATGCATGGGCAGGTGGATGCAGCATTTCTAGGCATTTTCTCAGACAAGGCAACAAACTCAGCTGAACTAGAAAATGGGTCTTTTTCCCACAGAAACTAATTTAACTGATTTTTGAAACACATTGATAATAGCATTAGCATAAATTTAAATACATGCTTACCAGGCTGTTCTCTGTTATGTTTTTATGCAAGTGATTTGGTTGACAAATTAATAATTGTGATTACTAAAGAAGAACTAAATTTCCAATAATCTGAACATTTGGTCCTAATAGGAAGCTGTAGGCCTTGACTTCTTAAAGCATTAAAAAAGATGTAAGGTCAAACTAATTTCAGTAGCTAAAATGCACTTATACTTAATTGTAGTATATTTCAAGCTAAACTTAAAAGAAAGCAGAAATGTACCCAAATGTTTTATGCCTATAGTAGCAATTGGTAGTTAAATTACTTCTAAGCACCGAATATGAAATTCTATTTATATAATTAATATAATTTATATATTTATGTTATATCTATTATTTATATATATCTATAATTATATATATCTATAATTATATCTATATCTGTAATTTATATCTATATCTATATCTAATTATAGATATATATCTATAATTTATATTATATATATAAATTATAGCTATAAATATATATATTTATATTATATTACATATAATATATAATATATAATATATATTTATATTATATTATATATAAATATAGTAAATATAAATATATAATTAAATATATAATTAATCTATAATTGATGAGCTTCATTGTAAATATAATAGGTATTAGATGGTACATTCAGCAACTAAACAAATAGTATTTTGTATGCAAATGTAAAGAGACAAACTTATGTCTTGTATGTTTCTTTTAACCTTAACATTCAGGAATAATCATCATCAGTATTTTGATAAGTTTTCTTAGGCAAAATTTCAAAATATTCTTCTAGTAAATCTGACTACTACTTGTTGAATTTCCACAGGAAGCCCCCTAATCAGGAATTGTCAAAGGTAAATACATAAAGTGTTGTTTACACATCTTGAGTTTATGTATATTAATATTATTAGCTATTATAAAACATAAGACATTCAAAAATCAACATCAGATTAATGTTATATGTCAAGCCCTCTAAATGTATATGGCACTTAATTTATATTGAAAAAAATTTTAAAGAATAATTTCTATGAATATGTACTTATATTTTTTAGAGTATAGTCTCTTATTTTAAAAATATGATCACAAAATATCTTTTAATAATTTAGCTACAAAGAAACAGTTTCAAGGAATTGCTTTCTATGCCACACACACACACTCAGAAACACACTACTTGTACACACACATACTTGCTCACACATGCCTATTTTCAGAATTTTCTAAATAGCAATTACTTTCTTAGATTTATAGTCTATAATGCATGGCATTTTTTTTATCCAAAAATATATATTTTTTGTTTCCATTTAAGTAGTTTTAGTCTAAAAGCACTTGCTAATCATAACAACACAGCAAAGGTTTGTTATGTAAACATTATACTTTATTATCAGCCTTTGTTTTCCAATACAATGCTTTAAAAATATCCTCTGTTGTATAAAGGACATTGTTGCAAAAAGGCAGCTCAAAACTTGTCCTTCCCTTCCTTTCATTGATCTGTTGCCTCTTAGGCAATATGAACAGCTGTCTCCAGCTCACCCACAAGCAAGCTGAACATAATAATAAGGTAGTGTTACTGGCCTGAATCTATGAATGATTATACAAAGGGTGCCAGCTCTTTTCCATTAAAGATAAGGTAACAAAGATACCATAGAGAAGAAAACTGGTTAGCAAAGCAAGCGTGTGCTTCTGCCTTTAAGGTTTAGTTACTATTCTGGTAACCACTGAGTTTCTCTTTCCGTTGGGTTTCCAATAAGGTGAAGGTGCCCTCTGTAGGAGACTCCCAGTAAATGCCGCTTTTTTATATTTGGGTGACAACAGGCAAGTTCTGCTCCCCTACCTCCAATTTATAAATAAACAAATAAATAAATAATCACAGAACTCTGTGTGAGCAGAAGCTTGAACTCTATAAATCTTAGGGGGAAATTAGTATAAAGCCCACAATGATCTATGTAAATGTGGTTGCTTTTTCAAAATGAGAGCAATGGAACAGTGAGCAAGCTATACAGCATGTTGGTGTTTGATATTTATTGACACTGTGACACTGTGATATGTAATAGAATCGGCTGTATAAATTCAGAGGTGTTCCAAAAACTGAAAGATAGAAGGTCTTGGCATAGTTGAGTGAAAAATGGATCTAAACAGAAAAATCCACATGCGGAGAGACACATTCACCACCTAATAAATACACCTCCCCAAAAGGTCTTCTTATCTTCCCTTCCTATAAAGGTTACCATAATGCAGATTCATTATCAGTCCCACTGGGTAGCACATAGCTCCGTAAGAAATTGCTTTTGTTAGCATGCTCGTAGAAAGAGATTAGCTATTTCACCAGATCTCTTGGGGCTATTTGAAATTTTGGGAATTCTCTCTGTAATTTAAAATGAAAGTTAAAGCCAATGCGAATAGACTAGGGAGAATCTCACAAATTAAACCTCTCCATCTGGAAGTTTCTTCATCACTTATTGCAAAGTACAAGCTGATATCGCATTTGTTACAGGCAGGAGAGAGATTTCATCACTGATGATGCAATTACATTTATATTAATGTTTTAATAATTAACTATGTTGGTTGCAAAGAAAAACGTAAAATAGAAATGCTTAACAGTGTTTTGGATTTTTTTGTCTTTATTAACTTTGTATATTACTTAGATTTTATCACTGAGATCATCTATGTGCATTATTTAAACTATGACTTTAGCCTCTATGGAATGTGTGTAGGAGAGTCTAGTATCACCTGTATTGCAAGTTAGGGGATGAACAAGTAGGCATGGAGGCATAAGAGAAGGGAGATTATTTGCATCCTCTTATCTAACTGACTTCATTGATCCTCAGTATCGCTCAAACATCCCCTTCTCTGCGAATCCATTTTCCCATACCATTGGCCACTTAATCTCAACAACAACTATATTATGGATTACTATGTACCAAGCACTGTGTGAGCACTGTGCTAGATAGTTTATATGGATTATCTCATCTAATCCTCGTAATACATAAGAAAGATAGGCAATTTGTCTTATCCCAGTAAGAAAATGAGGCATCTAAAGTTTGGCTGATTAAATTACTTGCCCAAGCCTACTCCACAGTCTGCTTTCTTTTCCCCAAGGATACCACTCCCTTCTGTCCTCACTTATTTTCTCACCTGATTATTTTTCACATGTTCAACTTATTTGCGCTCCTGTCTTCCTAACACAACTGCCTGGTGAATTCCCAGCCAGCAGTAACAGCTATCTGCCATCCCACTGGATGACTGAGCATTGCTAAACACTCTCCCACAGTTATGCAGAATTGTATCCTTGATTACTCATGACTCTTAGTTGCAAGCTTTAAAATTTAAGCCAGTTCATCTAGAAAGGGTCTGAATCAGCTCACATCATCACATCAATAGAAGTCACGGCTTCAGTTGGTCTCAGGGATAACTTTGACCAGAGATTCAAACGTCTCCTCATATCATCTCTGATTTCTGAAGACACGTTTGTCAAGGTGTCTTCTTCAGTTCCTCAGTTTGGGTTCTAAACAACTGGATTCATAGTTTCTAGAAGCAATCATGCACACTGCTTCTAACTCCAGCACCCAAAGACACAAATCCAAGGAAGAATTCTTATTGGGTCATCTTGGAAGAGGTGCATATTTCTGGATGAAGAAACTGATCAAGGGCATTATCGGGTAGTGGTTAAGAATGTGTGGAATGTGAAACCAGATTCCTGGAATGTAAAACCTGGTCTATTTGTGACTTGGGACAAGTTTACATCCCAGTGCCTGAATTTTCTTATATGAATAAAAGGAAATGATAATTGTACCTACTTCATTGCATCGCTATGATGATTAAATGAATTACTATGCAGAACTTAGAATAATGACTAGTTCTGAATATGTTAGTTATCAGTGATCATTTAGGCCTTAGGATTGGTTCAGCTTGGGGCAGATGCTCCACTCAGCTCAATCAGTGCGACCACTGGGGCAGAGTAATTAAACAGCATTGAAGCTCAAATTTGAGGGAGATTCCTAGCATGGGAGACAGAAATTTTTCGGAAGGAAAAGACTTTTCCAGGTGAAAGAGTGAGAAGTGCTAGATGGACAAGTCACCAGACACCAGGAAGAATACTATACAATCAGGAAGAATGTATGATCTCCTATATGAGTGGAGAGCCATTCAACCATCTTTTTATGTGTCCTTAATCAGCTCCATCGCTCCTTCCTCTCAGTGATAATTCCAAAACTTTCTTAAATACTAAACCCAATTCTTCAAACGAGAGATGTATATTCTCTATTGACACTCTTCCTATTGCAACAGGGAAGTTTAAGATCATCAGGTTTTCACCATTTCTTGATTGGACTGTTCCTAGAGTCTCTGAGCTGACTCCCTTTCCCAGTCCTTCCCTTCATCCATCCACATTATTTCCAGATTTATAGTGGAGCTTGAGAGTACCACTTTCAATATAAATCTTGAATATAGGTCATGAAGTCTATATACTAAAACTCTTCAATGGTACTCCTTCACCTCCAGCATGAAGTTCAAATTAGGACTAAGCCTGACCTAGGAGACTTTATCTTTCCTGTTTTTGTATTTGGATACTCTCCAGGTCTAATATTTATTTTGTTATTATTATCTCTACTTTGTGACCATTTGTTGACCTGTTTTAAATAGCTAGCTAGCTAGCAGACAGAAAGAAATCAATAACCAGTTTGCTAGGGCTACAGTAACAAAGTACTACTGACTTAAGCAACAGAAACATTTTTTACAGTTTTGGAGGCTAGAAGTCCAATCTCAAGGTGTCAGCAGGTTCAGTTTCTTCCAGAGGGCTCTTTCCTTGGCTTGCAGATGGCTACTTTGCTGCTGTGTCTTCACATGGTCTTTCTTCTGTAGATGCCCCTGGTGTCTCTCTAAGCATCCTAATAAGGACATCAGTCAGGTTGGATTAGGGCCTACCCTAAGGACTTCATCTTAACTTACCTACCTCTTTAAAAGCCCTGTCTCCAAATACAGTCACATTTGGAGGTAGTGGTTAGGGATTCAACTTATAAATCTTGAGGGGACACAATTCAGCTCCAGTTATAATTTTTATCTTAGAAAGTCTAAAGTGCTAAATTTGTCAAATTAAATCATGCTACTCTTCTGGTGAAAATACTTCAATCGCTTCTCATTAGACTTTGAACAGCACTCTGGTCTTTTTCTTCATGGCATAATTTTTTTTAATTTCTTTTTTGAGACAGATTCTTGCTCTGTCGCCCAGGCTGGAGTGCAGTGGTATGATCTCAGCTCACTGCAACCTCTGCCTCCCAGGTTCAAGTGATTCTCCTGCCTCAGCCTCCTGAGTAGCTGGGATTACAGGCACGTGCCACCATGCCCAGCTAATTTTTGTATTTTTAGTAGAGACGGGGTTTCGCCATGTTGGTCAGGCTGGTCTTGAACTCCTGACCTCGTGATCCGCCTGTCTCGACCTTCCAAAGTGCTGGGATTACAGGGGTGAGCTGCCGCGCCTGGCCGCATTATTTTTAACTTGTAATTTTACCTTAGTTTGTTTGCTTTTTTATTGTGTGACTATCCGCATTGGTAAGAGTTCCTTTGGACCATTTCTATTTTATTCTTTATTGTATTTTCTTTCTAGTACAGAGATTGAAATAAAGATGTTCCTCCATGTTTATTGAATAAGAAACGACCTACTTCAAGTAGTATGACTATACTGTGTTATTTCACATGTTTGGGGTTTGGTTCTGACTATATCCTCCAATATTTATTTGCTTACCTAATGATTTTTTACCCTTTAGGACATCCCTCAACGAAAGTGATACATATGCACCATGGAATACTATGCAGCCATAAAAAAGAATGAGATTATGTCTTTTGCAGGGACATGGATGGAGCTGGAGGCCATTATCGTTAACAAACTAACACAGGAACAAATACTGCATGCTCCCACTTCTAAGGAGGAGCTAAATGATGAAAACTCACGAACGCATAGTGAGGAACACCACACACTGGGGCCTATCAGAGGGTGGAGGATGGGAGGAGAGAGAGGATCAGGAAAAATAACTAATAGGCACTAGGCTTAATACCTGGGTGATGAAATAATCTATACAACAAACCCCCATGACACAAGTTTACCTATGTAACAAACCTGCACATGTACCCCTGAACTTAAAAGTTAAAAAAGAAATAAAAAAGGATGCTCTAAACCAATGAAAGACGTAACTATCCCACTTCTATGGGATACTTACCTCTATTTTTAATTTGTTATCATATATGGTATCAGTCTTCATTAATTACAGGGAACAAGTATCAATCATATTTTAATTTACAGGGTTTAGCATATTGCCTAATATATGACAATCCTCACATTGAACTTTGCTTTTTGGGAAACAGTTAAACTTCACCTGAATGACCAGATAAATTTTAAATGAATAAAATATCAAAGTATAAATGATTTAAATAATTATATTCTACCTCATCTTTAAGAACTTTCCTGATAATCTCAGTCTAAACACTTCTCTTTTATCATTTATTTTATCCATTATGTAGCTATGAGTAATCCATTGTCTTGTAAAATCTATTAAAATATTGCCTTGAACTACTGTTTCCATCTTTAGTCATTTACATTTTGAATTAGTTTGTATCTCATTTTTTTTTTATCTCACCAGCTAGAGAGTAGGGGATTTTGTCCTATATAATTACAGAAAAAGACATATATGCATATAATAAGCACTTGTTCACTGGATTCAATTTGGATAAATTTGAAGCATGTGTAAATTCAGAGATATTTCAAATATCTAGCCTATTATATCAGTTAGCTCTTTCTGCATAAACGTACAATCCAGAATTTAGCAGCTTAAAAAAATCACATTTGATTTAGCTTATTCTTTTGTGTGAGGTCTGGGATGACGCTTCTGGTCTGGGTCAATTCAGCTGGGTTGTGTTTTCTGTGATTGCTTCATGATTTGTCTGGTCATTAGGAGACTGCCATCACAATGGGGCTGGGGTTTCACCAGGCAGTTGTGTTGGTTGTGAATCTTGCATATGTTAACCGGTGGACATATGCAACACATTCTTAGGTGCTATGGACTGAGTTATGGTCCCTGCCCCAAATTCTTATGCTGAAACATTAACCCTCAATGTGACTGTATTGAGAAATAGGGCTTTTAGGAAGTAAAGTTAAATATGCTCATAAGGATAGGGTCCTAATCCAATACAATTGGTGGATTCATAACAAGAGGAAGAGATTTTCTGTCTCTATTTCTCTATGTCTCTCTAGCAAGCACCAAGGAAGGCCATGTGAGAATACAATGAGACAACCATCTGCAGTCAGGAAGAGAGCCCTCATTAGAAACCTAATTGGCAGGCACCTTGGTCTTGAACTTCCCTTCCTTCAGAACTGTGAGAAATCAATTTCTGTTGATTAAGTTGCTGGTATTTTGTTATGGCAGCCAGAACAGACTAAGATACTAGGGTATATACCTAGTATTGGACTTGATAATGGGGTTTGCACATCTTCATACTTATAAGATGGAGTCAAGTGGTTTCCAAATATTTCAAAAGTTGTTCCACATCATTTCTAACATCTGATATTATAAAACTTTTGAAATGTTGCAGCCAGGGGGTATAAAATGGAATCCAACTGCAGCTTTAATTTATATTACCTTATTACTAAGATTGAGTTTTTTTTATATGCTGTTTGGCTATTTGAATTTTCCTCTTCAGTCAAGTGTCTGCTCTTTTGCCCATTATAAGTTATGTAAGTTACCATTTATGTTTTTCTTTTTGATGTACAGAATTTACATATTCTGAATATGTTAAAAATATATTCTCCCAGTGTGTTTCTTCTATTTTCACATTATTTGTGATAGTTTTTGATGAGCAGAAGTTCTTTATTTAATATAGTCAAATTCCAGATTTTCCTTTATAGATTTCTCTGTTTGGGTCTTGCATAAGAAATTTCCCTATCCTAAGAACATAACCTCATTCTTTGAGATTTTTTTTTAATTTTGTTTTTTTGCTTTATATGTTTAAGTGTTCAACATTCTAGGAATTGATGAGTTTAACAGCAGAGATGGAGGGGTAGAGGGAGGAAGATAAAGGGTGTTTGTTGCTCCTGGCATCTAGTGGGTAGAGGGCAGGGATGTTGCTAAACATCCTACAGTGCACAGGACAATCCCTATAACAAAGAATTATCCAGACCAAAATGTCAGCAGTGCTGAGGCTGAGGGATCCTTGGAGTAGTCATTTGTGTAATACAGCCATAATCAGTATTCTTAAATTCTTTATGTGTGCTTAAAAAGAAAGCATATCCTACAATCACGAGTGTAATTGGTTTCTATATTCTATGTGCTTCTTTTAGTTAACCTTATTAATTTTGTGGTTCAAAGATTTCATAATCTAACTGATTTTTTTGACTACATGATTTATCATTATGGAGAGAGCTGTGCTAAAATCTCTCTCTGTGTGGATTAGTCTAGTCCCTCATAGTTCTGTCAACTCTTCCTTTAAATAACTTGACGCTCTGTTTTGAGGTAATACAAGGGTAGAATACATATGTCTTTCTGGTGAATTGAAATGTTTATCATTTTAATTGGCTATCATTTTCTCTAACACATTTTTTTCAATTGATTTTGTCTAATATATCCTTATAAACACAGTGGACATTTTATATTTTAATATTAATTTGTTATAACCTTATTAAATTTTTTGTTTTCAATGTCCTTATATTTTAGGATATCTTTTGTGAACAACATGGAACTCTTTTATTTTAGTATAATTAATTAATTAATTTAGATACATGGTCTCACTCTGTTGCCCAGGCTGGAGTGCAGTGGAGCAATCACGGCTCACTGCAGCCTTGACCTTCCAGGCTCAGGTGATCTTCTCATCTTGGTCCCCCCAAGTAGCCGGGACTACAGGGCGTACCACCATGCCCAGCTAATTTCTTTGTATTTTTTGTAGGATGGGATTTTGCCATGTTGCCCAGGCTGGTCCCGGATTCTTGGGCTCAAGCAATCCACCTGCCTTGTCCTCCCAAAGTGCTGGCGTTTTCAGGCCTGAACCACCACATCCGGCCTTACCTTTATTTTAAATCCCTTTGCATAATCTTTGTGGTTTAAATGGGTCACATAGTCCATTTTCATGTATTGAAATCACTAATATTTTTGTATTGATATCTATCATCTTATTTTGTGGTCTTACTGGTACCACCCCCTATATTTTGTAGTTTCTTCCCTTGGCTTTTAATATCCATTCATGACTCACCTGAATCAACCACCACTGTGATGGTTGCCAGATTGTGTTCATCTATTTCTGTTTTTCTTTCTACATTTACAAGTTGTCATCTTATTGCAAGAAAAATCTTTGTCTTCTATTGAAATCATGACTTTGTTAATTTAAATTATTGTATTCCCCTTATTATTCTTTATTTTCATGTTGACATTGGCCCAGATTTGTTGTTCAGTTGGAGTCTATTCCATCTGGCTTCTGTCATTTTGACATGCCCATGTCATTCTTTGGGAGTTTCTTAGTTTCTGGCACAGGGTCCAGGTTCCTTTTGTGCTTTTCATGCCAATGGTCTTGGAATCAGCCATTTCTCTAAGGAATCTGGTTCTTGTGGAAGATTATATATCAAAACCAAAATCAGGACCAAGAATCAAACACATTAATAGAATGTAAAAATATATTCAACAAAATAGAATTACAAAAAATGTATTAGAGAAAGTGAAAGTCACTTAAAAATTATCTAATGAAAATGCCTTTCACTAGAAAAGACTTAAGAGTCCAGGGTTAGGTGTGCTCATTGCTACGTGTACTTCATAGCTTCTAGGTCCTCTCAGTAAACAAAGTAAGAAATAAATGGATGTGTGTATACATTTCTAGATAAGTAAATAGAAAAAATATCTGTGTGTGTCACACATGTTTTGTATCTATTCTATATCCATTATTTCAATCTACATCTATTATTTATCTATCTACCTATCTATCCTGTGAATTTATACAAGATTTTCACTTCCAATCCAGTAATTTCATCATGTTCATTTCAGTTAGTTTCTCCAATATCTGTATTCCTGATAGTGAGAAACTTGACTTCCATTATCTTCAATGTATGTACTTATTTGTCTTATCTCCTTGTACATAACCAATATCCCAAACTTGCTTGTTACCTCTTTGACCTTGACCATTTTGCTGTCTCATTAGCCTATGATCTTGCCATGGCCCCTTTGGTTGACTACCTAAGCGACCCCAGCCCTTTACCCACCTTCTAAGCCTCACTGCATTCTCTACCCCCAGCTCTATCAGATTCTGAAACTTTCTTAACTCCACCACTTCTCTTCAGCCCTGCTCTTGTTCCACAAAAAGGGAAGGAAAGAGAAAGAGGAAAAGGACAGCAATGTCCTCAGATTGGGAGCTAAAGTTTATCTGAATATTTATTTATTTATTTTGAGTTAGGGTTTCACTCCGTTGCCCAGGCTGGAGCGCAGTGGCGAAATCTCTGCTCACTGCAACCTCCGCCTCCCGGGTTCAAGCAGTTCTCGTGCCTCAGCCTCCCAACCTTAGGTGATCCCACCGTCTTGGCTCCCAAAGTGCTGGAATTACAGGCATGAGCCACCATGCCTGGCCTCAGGCATTTTACTTTTCTATCATATGTCAACAAGAAAAGAGATGAGAGTCATTTTTCATGTTCTGTATGCTATCCTTGATCCAAATATTATCACTATGCTCTAAGATTTCTAAATTAGGAAATTAAAAGTTTGTATACTCAAGCTTTATATGTAGTAAAGTAATATATATCTAGATGAAATATTCCACCTGAGAATGGCCACATACTCCCCAATGTAAATTTTTAAATAATTTTGAAATATTTCCTCATTTTATTCACAGGACGTGATAACGAGTCATACTGCGGTGGATCGGCATGCACCCTGTCCCCCTTCTTACCTCCCAGAATTACCTCAGTATCATAGCGTAGGTGCTTTGGAGAAAACTGACTCCTCCTAGCAATAAGTCTTCAGTTGCTTTAAGCTTTAAGCACATTCTTTCAGTCCTCTGATCATTGTCATTTGTCCAGGGGTGGGCATGGACTTTAGTGGTACCAAAAAAAATCTCGCATTCCTATTTGAAATGCTGAGACAGAAGTACAGGCTCTCACTTTCTCTGCAGTTGGCAGAGAGGGAATGTGGTCTCGATTGCTTCTGGCAAACATTGTGCAGTCATGTTGGAAAGGGGACTTGAAATGAAGCGAAGATTCCAGAAAACAGAACAAACCAAAAGAAATGGTGACCACTATAACTGGCAACTGTGGAGCCTGCCCTATCTCTGGACATTCAGTTACTGGGGCTAATAAAGCCTGGTTTACTTTGTTGTCTGTGCCATTTGACTTTGCTTTCTTGATGTGAATAACACAGAAAAGTTCTAACTCACAGTGACATTAAAGAAAAAAGCAGAATGGAATAAAATCAAACTAGCAAAGTGTATAAGTCATAAGAAAAAATTGACCATGACTAAAGATAAGACTAGACAAGGGTATCTACGCTTTGAAAAAGTTGGTCACATGATAAGAAGTTCTTTTGAAAATAAGCTTTATTTTTTATTCTTTGGTCAAAAATGGGCAATGATTAAAAATAGCTTATTAATTTTTCAAAAAAATGCATTAAAAGAGCAACATAATAGCAGATCCAAAGCAGTTTATGCAAAGTTACCCTTATAAAACGTCACAATTAGGAGGCTAGTATGAGTCTCTTATATACTCTGGTTGTATCACTAATACTGCACTTAGAAGCCTAAAGCTTTCTTCTTTATTTGAAGAAATGTATATTCCGTTAGGGCACAATTATTTGATTCCATACTGAAAGTGTCTGTAGGTAATTTTATGGAAGAAAGGAACTTCTAGAGACAAAATGAAGCTAAGCTGGGCCTAGAGTTGATACCTTTGGCCAGAAATATTAGGGCAGTCCTTTTATTTAAAAAAAAAAATCTTGACATGAATAAAGCAGCAGAAAGGACATAGTATGATTCTACTTCTATGAGGTACCTAGAATACGAACATTCATGGAGTTAGAGAGTAGAACTGAGGTTACAAGGGACTGGGGGACAGGAAGGTTCAGGGAGTTATTGTTTAATGGGTTCAGTATTTCCATTTGGGAGGATGAGAAAGTTCTGGAGATGAACAGTAGCAATGGTTGCACAATATTGTGAATGTGCTTAATGCCACTGAATTGTACGCTGAAATTTGGTTAAATGGTAACCTTTCTGATATTTATATTTACCATGCTAAAAAGATCCTTGCCTAGCACAAAATTTGATGCATACATTCAATTAGAAAAGTTTTCATTTTCATAAAATTGTTAGTTTTTATGTAGAAAACATTAACAACAGTAACAAAAGCAGCTGAGTATAGCTCTTCAGAATTTCCATGACCTAGCCATCTGCTTGCATTAAAGCAAACCAGATCTCCATTTTCTGCTTCAACTTCTTCAGTATATCCAGTAAACTGGTCATGTTTAAAGGCACAAGCATGAATAAAATTCATAATCTCGATCACTTTCCTAAGACATCATGCAATGAACCTCACTTGCAGAGTTCACAGCACCAATTCTCCTGATGCAATGGGAAGTGAGCTCACTTTCTCTTTATGATTTAAATCAACGATTGAGATCTCCTATTTTATTTCTTTTATTATGGGGCACCGTATCTGTGACAAATAATTTCAGTTTTCTACACTTAGATGAAACTTCTCAACTTTCATACCAGCAAGTGATTACGTTCTACTGGTTCAAATATGTTAATTAATTTGGACTCACTATTACTTCTGTTATTTCTAAAAATTCCTGGTTTCTTATATTTGGTTTGCAGTACACAAATGAGACACAGTAGGGTGAGAGCAAATAGTTTTCTATTTCTGATTACTCAGATTCACATAAGACAAAGGGAAAGTCAGATACTTATTTATAATTATTTTTCATACAGAACTATACTAATTCTTCATTCACCTGTATAAACTCTTACATAATATATATTCATGAGAAAGGAACACGTACGATAAATGGAGGGTTCAAGAGACCCAAAAGATTTAAAGATGGAATGCTTTATTCAACCATTGAGAATATCCTTAATTTGAAATATTGTATGTTAATGTGTTTCTTTGTATTTCTTTATGTTGCCCCTATTCTTCATTTCTGGATTTTTAAAAATCTAAACAAACATAAAAGTAAGTTTTTGAATGGTTTTAGTTAGTCCATGTCAATTTACTGGAGTTAAGGATCTTCCACTGAAATGCTTTCTAAAAGCCATATTTCACAACTGCAGCTTACCAATGGAATGTTCCATTAGGTGTGCTTTACTTTCTCTCCATCCATGCCATTCAGTCTTGGTTAAAAGCTGGATACAATAGGGAAGGTTTACTGGGGAGACAGGACACTACACCCTTTAAACCACCTTTCTCAATATTGTCCCCATCAAGAGACAAGGATTTTGCTTCTTCCAGGTATAGCTCATTCTAGCAGTCTGTGGATTTCAGCACTAAATGTCTTCTAGAAACTTCAGGAGAAACAGCCCTATTTAATACCATTTATCTTTACCAGTCATCTGTTAAATAGAACTTCACTTTTAGGAATGTTTTTAAAAGCTAAAATGAAATGTTAAGGAATAGAAATACAGAAACAGTTAAGTGTCCTGCCCACTCACACATTGCTATAAACAAAATTAAGAACAAGTATTAAAATTAATCCCAGCTACTTGGAAGGCTGAGGCAGGAGGATCACTTGAGCCCAGAAGTTTGAGAACATAGCGAGACTCTGTCTCACAAAGAAAACAAAATAAAAACCCAAACATTAAAGTTATTTTATTTTAACTCATTTATTTGTAAACTGCGGTGCCCACCCAGACTAGAATTTGCAGGGCAATACATATCATACATTTAATATCTCAGTAATCATAACTATTAAAATGATCATAATAACACTTTGTACTTACCTAGTAACTTTCATCCAGGGTTTTAAAGCCCTTTCTAAACATTAATTAATTCTCCTAACACTTCTGCCAGATAGATACGTATGATTATCTTCATTCCCCTAGTGAGGAAACAGAGACATTTGTGTTGTGACTACCCCCAGGCTGTTCTGTAAGGCTGTGGCAGTTGTGAGGGTGAGATCTTAGTGAACAAAATTTCCATTCTGTGCATTATTCTTTCATTACTTTACATTCATTCTAAGCATGCTGAGTTCCTAGACAAGTGTCTTAAAATTGTCAATGAGCTGTGAAATAATTTTAAGAATATATGAAAATCCCAAATGAAACTAATAAAAATAGGACCACAGGACTAGGATAGAATGTGAACATTTCCCTGACATTCATTTCTAAAGCTTTGTTCATGAAATGTCACAACAAACAAGACTAAAGTCTATAATCAATTTGTACTTGCCATGCCCCTTCTCTAAGTTTTTATAATTATGCCACCTCACTGTTTTTACTTTCAGTAATTGTTCAACTTCTTTGTGGAGTTTCACATAGAAAAGTTTAACTCTCTGGCTGATTCAATTTTTTTTTTAAAGTGGGATATTGCAGATGAAAATTGAAAATATCTGCATTCATTCTTCTTGTACATATGATGCTGAAAACTTTAAACACAGACAATTTATGCAAAACAACCACCACCACCACCACCACCATTTTTGGGCTTCTGAGTTGATGCTTTTGCTTTTTTCTTCATCTGTCCTGACATTCTGATTACCACCTAGTTTTATGCATTTTCTAGGTGCTTTATTCAATTTTCTAGTTTTATACAATAATTTTTCACTTAAGTTGTCACTATTTCTTGTGAATAAATGTCCACTGCAAATATGGCATTGCTCACTTACACAGTCCATTATGCAACAAAAACTTTACATGTACATGTAATTATGAGACAGAATTTTGGGGAGTCAGATAATTATGTCCTAGACAAAAATTTATAGCACCGGAAAGGTATAGACAGTGTCATAGATACCAATTCCTACAAACCAATTCAGAACTGGTTATAAAAATGGTTTATGAATGCTAATTATAGAGTCTGCAATCTGCTAATATTAAGTTAGAGTCTTGTAAATAGATAATATGAAGTTTGGTTCCAGAAAATCTACTTATCCATGTCTAGAAAGCTAGGAGAGCTAGAAGATAAAAGTGAGTGCTATTTGTTGGTCTGTTAATTGTTTACTGAAATCCTAAAGCTACACAGGTAAATGCAGTTTTATTTAAAGCATCTTAATCTTTCCTTATACAGTTTTATCTCATTATCCACCATCTTGACATTTTGGCCTTATTGAAATGTAT